>NC_000001.11:234972000-235123515 GCF_000001405.40 Homo sapiens | reverse complement strand
TTCTGTCTACAGGTAGGGAGACCTCTTTTTTGAGACAGAGTGTCGCTCTGTTGCCCAGGCTGAAGTGCAGTGGCACAGTCTCTGCTCACTGCAACCTCCGCCTCCCGGGTTCAAGCAATTCTCCTGCCTCAGCCTCCTGAGTAGCTGGGACTACAGGCGCCCGCCACCATGCCCGGCTAATTTTTGTATTTTTAGTAGAGATGGGGTTTCACTATGTTGGCCAGGCTGGTCTCGAACTCCTGACCTTGTGATCTGCCTGGCTCAGCCTCCTAAAGTGCTGGGATTAAAGCATGAGCCACTGGGCCCGGCCCTCAGACCTCTTTAGTCATGCATTGAAGCTTGGATTTGTAGAGTGCTTTAAGGTTTTCAGAGGACATTTGCTTGTTTCATGGCTTTTGTTTCTCACTGTAGTCCTGTAAGGTTAGACCTTATCTTGGGAGAGTGAGAGATTTGCCTAAGATCACCCAGCTAATAAGTATTAGCTAATAATAAGTATTGGAGCCTTACATTTTCTTAACTATGTCAGCAGTTACTCTCTATGTCATTGGTAGTTTTTAGTGATTATCACTTTAGGTGTAGTCCTGCATCAGTATCCTTGAGTGACTGGTTCCAGGCCTCCCCTGGATACCAAATTCTGATGATGCTCAAGTACCTTTAAGTGGTATAGTATTTTCATGTAACCATCATATGCCTCCTGTACACTTTAGATTTTTTCTTTCATTTAAGAATGCCAGTTTGCAACATTCAGTAAAGATATAATCTGGCATATTTCAGTAATAAAACTCCCTAATACTAGTGGCCTAATTCTTGCCCCTGTTACATATCCTTTGTTGGTTGGAAGGGGGGACTTGATCTGCTTATTGTAATTACTTTAGAAGTCCAGCTATTGGAGCTATCTCCATCTTGCAAATTGCTAGATCTTCTGCCCCAAAGGGAAGGAGAACGCTCCAGTGCAGTGTCACATTTCCTACAGCTCATTGACCAGAACATGTCATATGCTCTTGACAGATCACAGGGAGGGATAGATTCCTAGAGTTAGAAATGTTTTGCAAATGGAATTAATGACTGCCACAGCAGTTAGAATTCTTTTGATTCCCATTTTTATAATGACAAAATGTAAATATAACTTTGCATTTCTTGCAGGAAGAAAGAAACAGAAGCTTGCCAAGGAGAGAGCTGGGCTTTCCAAGGTAATAGTCTGGTTTCTGTTTAAATTATATATTTTGTAGAAATATTATTTTAAAATCTGTAATTGGAAATGTAATTAAAATGTAATTGGAAAAAGCTAGTTGATACTGGACATTGCTTTTTTATTTTAAAATACAGCTTATTTTTAGGAGTAGGTGAATAATGTAGTTCCAATGACAGTTATCGAGTCCTTCATTATTTCTTTTGCTGGCCATAACAACAAACAGCTTACTGTATGAACAATAATTAAGGAGCAAGATGAGGGCCTCAAGACATTTGCACCAAAAGATGAAAAGTTCCTAATCAGCTGCTTCAAAATGATACAATATTACACTTAAGATTTAATTTCTTTACTCCAACTTCCTGTAAAAGAACCATGGGTTATTATTTCAAAAATTATTCAAGATTATTCAAGCCCACTGATCCAGAATCCCACTGCCCTGACAAATTTTTGCCTTGTTGCAGTACATAGTTCTGGATATAAAACTTGTAATTTATTTTTTCTTCTCATAGATCCTGAGTTCTTGATTATTTTTAATGACTATGTAGGTTTATCTACTTGGTAAAAAAATGTTCTGTGGCGTGTGTAAGTAAATTAAGTAAATGTTAATCATTGTGCTTGCAGCTTTTCCTTTTTATTGAGATGAGTTCTATTGTTTGGGTTCTTAGGACTTGGATTACTGGATCATTAGTGGTTCTTTTTAAAGCAAGTTGAGACAAGGAAAAATTAAGTTAACCAGTATATTTTGTTATTTTGAAACAGTTGTGTAAACACAGCTAGTTGACTGGACATGGTAATAGTGAAGTGAAAATGGGAGGAAACTACTTCGTTCTAGTAGGATCAGACTACCTTTCTGAAGTATGTAATATGTTTATTATGCTTTTGGTAACTTATATTTCTAAGGGCATAGGAAAACAGATTGAGACATGCACCAGTATGTATTTTTAGATTCAAGAATAGAATTAAATTATTGCTACATGCTGGGGTAGTGTGTGAAAGATGTCTCCACTTTCAGAAATTTAAATTGTTTCACTTGTGTTGGCTAGGTTAATAAGAGTATGTACAGTGTAATTCAAGGACCAAAAACTTGCACTAATGGAAGTTTAGGTTTTCTCTTTTTTTTTTTTTTGAGATGGAGTCTCACTCTGTCACCAGGCTGGAGTGCAGTGGTGTGATCTTGGCTCACTGCAACCTCTGCCTCCCAGGTTCAAGCGATTCTCCTGCCTCAGCCTCCCGAGCAGCTGGGACTACAGGTGCATGTCACCATGCCCAGCTAATTTTTGTATTTTAGTAGAGATGGCGTTTCACTGTGTTGGCCAGCATGGCCTCGATCTCTTGACCTTGTGATCTGCCCGCCTTGGACTCCCAATGTGCTGGGATTACAGGCATGAGCCACCGCACCCAGCTACTGAAGTTCAGGTTTTCAAATAAAAATGGCCTCTTTTTTTTTTTTTTTTGAGACAGGGTCTCACCCTGTCACCCAGGCTGGGGTGCAGTAGCGGTGCAGTCACAGCTCACTGCAGCCTCGACCTCGTGGGTTCAAGCAATCCTGCCTTAGCCTCCCTAGTAGCTGGACTATAGGCATGCACCACCATGCCTAGCTAATCTTTTATTTTTTTTATAGAGAGAGGCTGAGGTAGGAGGATCACTTGATCCTGAGAGGTGAAGGCACTGAGCTGTGATCACACTACTGCACTACAGCCTGGGCGACAGAGTGAGACCCTGTCTCAAAAAACAGTCTTTTAGATGCATGTAAAATGTAGGCTGGGTGCGGTGGCTCATACCTGTAATCCTAGCACTTTGGGAGGCCGAGGCGGGTGGATCATCTGAGGTCAGGAGTTTGAGACCAGCCTGGCCAACATTGCGAAACCCTATCTCTACTAAAAATACAAAAATTAGCTGGGCATGGTGGCGGGCACCCAGCTACTCGGGAGGCTGAGGCAGGAGAATCGCTTGAATCCGGGAGGTGGGAGTTGCAGTGAGCTGGGATTGTGCCACTGCACTCCAGCCTGGGTGACAGAATGAGACTCTGTCTCAAAAAACAAAAAAACAAAAACAACAAAATCTGTATAAAATAATGTTGAATCATAAGGACAAATTGCTTACAGTTGTATAAAAATCTACAATAATGGCATCCGAAAATATTGTAACGTGCGTAGACGGTATAGATTTTGCACTCTTTTCTCTTTACATTCGAGTTAGAGCTTTCTAAGAATTATTCAACTACAAACTCAAGTTTTTTCTTTTATTCATTTGAATGTAGATGAACTCTTAATTCCTACAAGTATTCAGGAGTAAAGTTCTTCTATCAGATTTTTTTAGAATGAGTGATTTGGTTTTTTGTTGTTTTATTTTTATTGATATCTGTGTATTGGTTATATCCCCTGGCATAATTGTGGTGTCATTTATTAAATATTTTATTTCCAGTTACCTGACCTTAAAGATGCTGAAGCTGTTCAGAAGTTCTTCCTTGAAGAAATACAGCTTGGTGAAGAGTTACTAGCTCAAGGTAATAGTCATTGAAAAGCTAAGGAAATGGGTAGAATTTTTCTCACTGATAGAAATTTATAATGATAAGGGGCTTTGTTTGTGTAATTTGGCTGTTAGAAAAGGTACTCCAAGTATCTCAAGACAAGTTTTTAGGCACTTAATAATTGGAAGATTATTTTGTGTAAGACTGGCTCTAGAAAGAAATATTCCTTGTGGGATATTGTTGTCCATAATATATTTTAAGTGAGTTTTAGGTTTTCTTGCTATATCATATGATGTAGAAGATAGTAAGTTTTTACAAATGAGGTTCTCTTACTCTGAAGTAGTTTCTAATGTATAGCCATAGTGCGATATGTAAATAGTAACTGAAGGAATGTGAGCTAGGAATATACTCCTCAACTCCTTCATCTAATCTTCAGATCTTTTCCAGTATTTATAGGAAGGAATGGCTAATGTAAGGTCCCAGAGAAGGTTAATTTACCTAATCAAGGTCACACGGTGAGTTCATGACCCCTTATTTCAGAACCAACTTGTTATCTGATCCAGAATTTAGCCTTTTCATTACATTGTACTTCATTTATTTCATCAACAGTGCTAAGAAGTTTCTAAAAAATATTCTATCTTTAAAGTTCAGCTATGAAATTGAAATTATCAAATTGACAAACGTGAGAACCGTAATTTACTCAATAATCTCAAAAGTAGATTTGAAGTAGTTGCTATCGTTATTAAAACTGCTATCAAATATTTTAAAATTCTGATTGCTGTATCAATAGATTTAGATAGAATTGAACTACATGATGTGGGGCATTTGTGTGTGAATGAGTTTGTTTTGTTGTTTCTTTTATGGGGAGAGTTTAATTCATTTAAAATGGTGGTAACTAACTTTATCACGTCTCCCCTTTGCCAAGAAATACTTTTTTGATATCAATAGAATTGCTCAATTAATTTGACCTAAAGAGTCACAGTACTCAAATTGCCAACAGACTGGGAAGGGGTAAAAATCAGTGAGTAGGGACAGGCATGGTGGCTCATGCCTGTATTCCCAGCACTTTGGGGAACTGAGGCAGGAGGATTGCTGGAAGCCAGGAGTTCGAGACCAGCATCGATAACAAAGTGAGACCCTCATCTCTACAGTAAATGAGAAAATAAACCAGGTGCAGTAGTATGCACCTGTAGCCAGCTACTCAGAGACTGAAGTAGGAGGATACCTTGAACCCAGGAGTTTGAGGCTCTAGTGAGCTGTGATGGTGCCACTGCATTTCAGTCTGGGCAACAGAATGATATGCTGTCTCTTAAAAACTATATACATAAAATCTGTAACTGCAGAGGAGTACAAGATAGGCACCAGTCAGGAAACATTTCCAAGTCTCCTACAGGCATCACACTGCAATTTCTCCATCAATCTGAGAGAGAGGACCCAGGCATTGGGGAAAGGGAAAGCATTCCCCCTCAGTGCTAAAGCAGTGCTGCATACTGAGTTGCTCTGCTCCTTGCATCGCATAACACTGGGTTTGATCTTCCTATGCTGATAGATAGATTTTATGATATTCTCCATGCTGTTGTATTAACAAAAGATACCACTTACGACGATCTGGCTATCCAGTCAGCAAAAGTTGTAGCAACATCCACTTTGCACAAGAAGGGAGCTCAAAATGACAAGATCACTGCAACTGAGGTTGTGTCAGTGTATCTTCAGCATTGTTGCTAAATCTGCAGATACAGTAATCAACAGTGCTAGTTCAGAAGAGATTTAATTATAGTATGTATTCAGAAGCAGGAACTGACTTAGCCAGTCTTTTGATTACTGTAATTCTAAAGTGACCATCAGTGGATCAGTGTGCAGCCCTGGGTCGGATCCCTTGTGATGGGTATCACTACATCATCATTTCAATACCTGGGAAAGGAATTGGCCAAGATGGTGCCTGGGAACCCAGATGACAATGACCTACACAATTGGAGTATCCTGAAACATTGTGTAGATGGGACAATCATAGTCCTCACATTGGCAGTGGAGATTCACCTGTTTCTGCTGATGGTCAAGAGGTTAAGAAAGCTCTTGGAAACCTTTACTTATACTCAGGTGCCATCAGATACCCCGCAGTAGTCAAAATTTTACCCAAAATGTTTCTCAGTCTTTCCACAGCAGCCAATTGGTAGCACAGAAAACATATACCAGATTTAAGAGCCTGGAAAGAACACCAGTGACTATCCTGATACCCAGGCTTGCCGTCAGCTGACAGGGTCAAGTGCATCGGGTATGATGGTAGAGATATTCCCTAAGACATACTTAATATCCTCAGCTTGCTGGGTAAAAATTAGTAAGATTGATCTGAAACTGTTTTCTCCTTTTTTTTTTTTTTTGTTTTTTTTGAAGTGGAGTTTTACTCTGTCACCCAGAGTGCAGTGGGTGGAGTGCAGTGGTGTGATCTCGGCTCACTGCAACCTCTGCCTCCCGGGTTCAAGCGATTCTCCTGCCTCAGCCTCATGAGTAGCTGGGATTATAGGCATGCACCACCAAGCCCGGCTAATTTTTTCCTATTTTTGGTAGGGGGTGGGTTTCACCATGTTGGTCAGGCTAGTCAAACTCCGACTTCAAGTGATCCACCTGCCTTGGCTTCCCAAAGTGCTGGGATTACAGGTGTGAGCCACTGCACCTGGTCTATTCTTACTCTTTTTTTTTTTTTTTTTTTTTTTTTTTTTTTGAGATGGAGTCTCGCTCTGTCGCCCAGGCTGGAGTGCAGTGGCGCGATCTCCGCTCACTGCAAGCTCTGCCTCCCTGGTTCATGTCATCCTCCTGCCTCAGCCTCCCGAGTAGCTGGGACTACAGGCGCCCACCACCACGCCCGGCTAGTTTTTTGTATTTTTAGTAGAGACGGGGTTTCACCATGTTAGCCAGGATGGTCTCGATCTCCTGACCTTGTGATCCGCCCGCCTTGGCCTCCCAAAGTGCTGGGATTACAGGCTTGAGCCAGCGTGCCCAGCCCCATTCTTACTCTTTAAGATCAATTTCCTGTGAATTTATATCGTGGGAAATTGTTTGGTAAATAAAAAGAATCTAGTAAAAAATGATCTTAATGGTATTAAGAACTGGAAAAGGTCTGAGGTGTTTTGTTTTGTTTTGTTTTTGAGATGGCATCTCATTCTGTTGCCCAGGCTGGAGTGCAATGGTGCAGTCTCAGCTCACTGCAACTTCCACCTCCCGGGTTCAAGCGAGGGTTCAAGCAATTCTTGTGCCTCAGCCTCCCAAGTAGCTGGGATTACAGGCGTGTGCCACCAGGCTCAGCTAATTTTTTTTTTTTTGAGATGGAGTCTCACTCTTTCGCCAGGCTGGAGTGCAGTGGCATGATCTTGCTCACTGCAACTTCCGTCTTCCAGGTTCAAGCGATTCTCTTGCCTCAGCCTCCTGAGTAGCTGGGACTACAGGCACGTGCTACCATGCTCAGCTAATTTTTGTATTTTTAGTAGAGACCGGGTTTCACCATGTTGGCCAGGATGGTCTCGATATTTTGACCTCGTGATCCACCCACCTCAGCCTCCCAAAGTGCTGGGATTACAGGCGTGAACCACCACACCCCGGCCTAATTTTTGTATTTTTAGTAGAGATGGAGTTTCACCATGTTGGCCAGGCTGGTCTTGAACTGACCTTAGGTGATCCACCCACCTCGGCCTCCCTAAGTGCTGGGATTACAGGTGTGAGCCGCCGTTCCCGTTCATTTCTGAGATTTACTTTACTTGCATGCTAACATGTTAGTTTGCCCCAATTTCATGGATGCTGGCAAAAGACATGAGACCACTGGGCTAGAGACAAAGGACAGCTCGTTATTCACTGCAATAATAGTAACAAGGGTATTGGCATTTGCACTGGTTTCCCGAGCCACAGTTCCTATGGCAATGCAGAAAGGGGACACATGTACATGTAGTGGGTTGCGTATAGGAGAGGAGCCCTGAATTTAAGGATCCTGAATTTTTTATAATGGGCAGTAAACATGTGTGTGCTTTTCCCTACACATAGGTAATGTTGCAAACCTGCCTTTGCTCCTGAGGGAGGCAGTTTATATTCTGAGGTTGTTTACTGTACAAACATCCTTGAAAAGACAGTTTGGAGCAAAGGCAGTAAATATCTGCTCAGAAGTACAGAAATGTGACAGACTTGAGAATTGTTCCTCTACTTGTATTGTTATTATTTTTTTATTTTTATTTATTTCTTTTTGAGACAGAGTCTCGCTCTGTCGCCCAGGCTGGAGTGCAGTGGTGCGATCTTGGCTCACTGCAAGCTTCGCCTCCCGGGTTCAAGCAATTCTCCTGCCTTGGCCTCCCAAGTAGCTGGGATTACAGGTGTGCACCACCACACCCTGCTAATTTTTGTATTTTTAGTAGCAGTAGGGTTTCACCATGTCAGTCAGGCTGGTCTGAACTCCTGACCTTGTGATCCACCCACCTTGGCCTCCCAAAGTGCTAGGATTACAGGCATGAGCCACTGCTCCCGGCCGTATTATTTTTTAAAAGTATATCTAATGGAGTTATTTTTATGTAAGGCACATTAAAATATTTTAATGGGAACCTCCTATACAGAACAGTGCTTAATTTAAAATATTTAATAGCATAGTTTTGCTCAAATATTTTGGGACAGTTTTTGGAGTTTGATTTAAAGTGGGATTAGGGCCGAGTGCAGTGGCTCATGCCTGTAATCTCAGCACATTGGGAGGTGGAGGCAGGAGGATTACTTGAGTCCAGGAGTTTGAGACCAGGCTGAGCAACATAGTGAGACCCCGTTTCTACAAAAAAAAAAAATTAGCAAAATTAGCCCGGTGTGGTGGTGCACACCTATGGTCCTAGCTACTTGGGAGGTTGAGGTGGGAGGATTGCTTGAGCCCAGGAGGTTGAGGCTGCAGTCAGCCAAGATTGTACCATTGTACTCCAGCCTGGGTGGCAGAGGGAGATTGTGTCTCAAAAAATAAATAAAATGGAGTTAACTAAGGACAAGGAGCACATAGCAGATACTTATTATTTATTGAATTAAGTGAACTTTGAAAAACTGTAAGCCTTAAGTATTTTTTTCAAACATAATATGTCTATTGAAGGATATTTATAGATAAAATAGGCTGGGCGTGGTGGCTCACACCTGTAATCCCAGCACTTTGGGAGGCCGAGGTGGGCGGATCATGTGGTCAGGAGATGGAGACCATCTTGGCTAACACGGTGAAACCTCGTCTCTACTAAAAATACAAAAAATTAGCCGGGCGTGGTGGTGGGCGCCTGTAGTCCCAGCTGCGCGGGAGGCTGAGGCAGGAGAATGGCGTGAACCCTGGGGAGCAGAGCCTGCAGTGAGCCGAGATCGTGCCACTGCACTCCAGCCTGGGTGACAGCGAGACTCTGTCTCAAAAAAAAAAAAAAAAAGAAAAAATAAGCCCTCCCACTCAGAGTTAATCATGGCTTTATTTCTCCTGTCATATTTCATTAGTATGACCATTTTTCCTGCTAGTATCACTTAAAATTTTTTTTTCTTCCCATGCGATACCATTCAAATAGTACAAAGATTTGGCTTAATGTGAAATTGGGTCTTCTTTCTACCCCAGTCCCCAGTCTTTTAGTTCTGTGTTACAGAAAAGTACTATGCGATTGTTAGCAATTGTCTCATGTAGTCTTTCAGAAATATTCCAAGTATATAAATAGTAATATACTTTGACATTTTTATACATTGATTTCCCCCTTACATATGTTTGAAACACTTCCATATCAGTACATGTAATCTGACTCATTCTTGTTAGTAGCTTCATAATAGTTATATGAATGCATTATAGGTCATTTCCAGTATTTTACTTGCTTAGTGTTTTTGGTCAGCATCATTTGGAGATAGTGTGTAAAGTTAATTTTGACAAAGGCCAAGGCTTTTCAGGTTACATGTAATTTTATGTAAATCTTACAGGTGAATATGAGAAGGGCGTAGACCATCTGACAAATGCAATTGCTGTGTGTGGACAGCCACAGCAGTTACTGCAGGTCTTACAGCAAACTCTTCCACCACCAGTGTTCCAGATGCTTCTGACTAAGCTCCCAACAATTAGTCAGGTAAGGAATTGGAATGTTATGACATAAAAGTGAGTGGGATTTAGAATCGAATGATTAGGGACATTTTAAAATGAGCCTAGTGAACATGATGAAATAAACTTATCTGTATAATGAAAACAATATGGGAGATATCAGCGCTTGACATTTTCCTCTCTGGTGGGAAACATCCAGATGACTGCCCAGATCTAGTGATTGTGCCCTGGAGGTGGATCAGGAAGTGTGTGTCTTAGTGATAAGTCTCAGGTCTTAGTAGTCAACTGTCCAAATTCAGGTCACTCTTGGCTACTTTCTACAAGTAGCTTTCTGCCTACTCTTCCAGGAGACCATGCCTTCAGTTAGGTGATCTGACAGAGGAGCCTAGATAGCTATAGCCTACACATTCGGGCCTAAACGTCGGTTCTAGACATTCAAGAGCATGGATTCCCTCTGACTCACTTGTGTAAAGGCTCATGCCTCTGCTGCTGCTGAGGTGCACTTTGAGTTTGGAGCTATTTGACGACATCCCCAAATCCCTACTCAAAAATGCAAAATAGCATTAATATACTGTAAAAGATTAACTTATGTGTAAATTAGGAGTTAATGAAAATGCTTTCTCTTCATTTTGAGTTCTTTTCAAGGAGCCCAAATGAATCTTGCTTTTTGGAATAGCGTGTCTGTTACAAGTGTTGATTTCCCAAGTTGGTGTGATTAAAACAGTGAATGATGATAGGAAGTATTTACAGAACTTTATAGTTAGTAACTGACTGGTTAATTTTTCAAACTGATTTTTACTCAACTGAATTAGAAAAGGACTGGAAAGAAAGTAAAGATCCCAACGACTTGAGGGAACAAGTTGGACAACCAAGGACTTTGTCTAAATTGTTTTTATTTAGACTAATGTGGTTCTAGTTCTAGAGGATTCATACTGGAATCATCGGTTTAATATTACGCTATTTGAAAGGCAGCATAGTATAGTACTTTTGGAAAATTGGCCTGAGGGTGATGTCTTTTGGAATATTTGTGAATTCACTATGAAGCCTAATTCCTTAAAAATGACCTCCTTCACTCAATTATCAGTGTTCTTGGTTTGCCTGGGAGTGAAAAGAGATCTTAAAATCTTTTTGGTTTTAGTTACATAATTGACTGATGTAATATTATGTAATGATGGCTGTACACAGTGTCTCATGCCCTATAATCCTAGCACTCATTTGAGCTCAGGAGTTCAAGGCCAGCCTGGGCAACATGGTAAAACCCTGTCTGCACCAAAAATAAAAAAAAAATTAGCCGGGCATGGTGGCATGAGTCTGTGGTTCCAGCTACTCAGGAGGCTGAGGTGGGGGAGGATCGCTTGAGCCCAGGAGTCAGAGGTTGCAGTGAGCTGAGATTGTGCTACTGCACTCCAGCCTGGGTTACAGAGACCCCATCTGAATTAAAAACATATATAATGTAATGATCTGCCTCCTTTGTTAACTTGACTTTTGAAATGGGATTGTCAGTAGTATGATCATTGTTTTCTTGGATGCCGACTGTGTGTAAAGTGTTACATTTTGAATTAAATGTCAGAATGGGTGAACTTTACTAAGATTCAATTCTTTGAATACAAAGAGCATTTTATTTTGAAGTTAGAATCCTAATTAAATGCTTATGACACTTTAAAAAATTATTTTTTTTTTCTTTCAGAGAATTGTAAGTGCTCAGAGCTTGGCTGAAGATGATGTGGAATGAGAAACAAATGTCAACATAATAAAATCTCAGTTAAAAATATTTTAAAAATTCTTGGTAGTTGAGCAGCTCTGGGGGAATAAGGGCAAATATGCTTGTTATGAACTACACTGAAATCTACCAAAGTTAATGTTTACTTTGTGTAGATCCATTTGTCTATTTTATTTATTTTTCCCAGTGAAAAGTGTATTTTGATAGAGAACTTTTCATTCTATAAATACACTATGAGTTACTAAAATATCATGGATTTTGTTTATTCCTGAAACATAGTTACATAGTTAAACTGTACATATGACATGGCTTATGTTAAAAATACCCAGTGCTCAGTTTTGAAAGATAGGCAAAAAAAAAAAAGTATAGGAGAAACTGAAGAATGTACACTTTTTTAGAGGGCACATTTTGCTGTAAATCTGGAAATTTGATAGACTTGACTGTGTTTGTGAAAACTGAGCATTAAAGGTTTTGATTGATCCTTTCTTTCCATTTAATCTCTGAGACGTAAATATGTGAGGTGTGCTGCTGTGCTGGGTTAACAGCTTCCTTCCCTTTCTGTGTAGCAGTCTTGAAATGTTCTGTTTAAATCAGTAGGCTTAATGTGTTCTGGGTATTTATCTCCTTGTATTTTAAATATATGTAGTTGCAAATAGCACCAGGAATTAGATTTCTGTACACCCCTAATCTAGCCTTGTGAGCTTCGCTAGTTAATGTGTGCTCACTTTCCCTCCATTTGTTACGTGAGAGAATGCGTCTGCTGATCACTGAAGTGTCCCTTTTAGCTTCTGATTCATTGGGTTCTGTTGGGCATCTTTAAATCCACCTTAACCTGAGGAATGTATGTGGGCAACCAGGCCCTGCATTTTTTTATATTCTGAATTTTGCATGCTTGCCTGACTTAGTATTTCTGAATTGATGTTTTTTTTAATGGTATAACTATCTTGATTTTCACTGAAATTATATGGTTCTGTCACTACTCTGTAAATTAATCCGAAACTTTTAAGGTAACTGGGATGATCTGCTTGTAAAAATGCTTGTTGCCTTTTGCTTTATCTTCAGTGTACCTCCTTAATCCTGCTTCAACTTGATTATCTTGTGAAACGATGAGAGTAAGTTGCAACCTTGTGACTGAAAACTTGAAAAGAGTGGAGCAGGTGGGACCTCTTATTCTCAAATAGTGACATATTCTCCGTAGTCACAGTTTCAGAACTGAGTAAGGATCCTTGGTACTTGGTGGCATCTGTTGAACTGAGGAGCATTTCTCATTGTAAAGATTGCCTTTGTTCTGTCTAAAAGTCTGGAGAAATCCCAAAGACTTTTCCTATGTACTAGGCATTTTATTTTGATTGACTTACAAACTCTTCTTAATCATTATCAATCTCGGTTTTTTTGTGGTGCAGTGGAAGGAGAAATAGGTCTAGTTTCTGCCTCTGATTAGCCGCACAGCCTTGAACAAATCACATTTCATCTTTGAACTTACCTCTACTGTTAGACTAGGCGACTCACATTTGAGGACTTTTCTCGGGTATCTTGAGGGTTTGTGATCCTGAACCCTTAAACAGTGCTTTTTTGTTACACAGGAGGGCTTTTTTGGGGGGATGACCAGTACAGACATGCCAGTTAGTTTTACTAGTGGGATCCCAAATCCAAAGCAGTGTAGTGGTGATTGGTCAGTGACTAACCAGGCAGCTAAGAAGTCTTAGGCAGCAGCCCAGACATGTATAGAGGGGCAGTTAGAGGGAGAACAGGGGTGGGAAAGGGAGCAAGGGGCAGATAGCTCAGCAAGGAAAGAATGGGCTCAGAAAAAGGAGGGCTGGCTGGAGGAGTGAGGGGCAGCTTAAGTTTGGGGAGGGTAGAAACGCCGTTTCCTTGGGAACTGGAGTGCAGTATGAGCTGGGTGTCACTTGGCTCTGAACATACTGGCTTTGCTGTAATGCTTGAAAAGGCGTTGGTATCTTCATTTTACAGTTCATTAACCCAAGTACGTTTTCTTATTTAAATGACAACTTTGGTGCTTTAAAATGAGGTACCACTTTTTAAAGCTAGCTGTGTCGAGTTAAAGAAAAAATCAGCAGTTTTTTCTCCCAGAAATGTAATTGCCAAACACTATTCATCCCCATCTTAAGTTTTACAAGGTGATGTAATCAGCTTGTTGTAGTGATGCTGGCCAAATGGTGCTCAGCAGGTGAGAACAAAAAAACCCCAGATCTCAGTGAACTAATACACAGCTTGAGCGTTTCCATGTGCTAATGTTGCACACTTACTAAAAAACTTTGGAAATGGAAAATAATGTATTAGTGCAACAGTTGATGTGCTTCTTTGGGCAAAGATATAGTTTTGTTCCACAATTTGTACTTAAAAGCGAAAGAACATTGAAAACATAGACTTACTGGCTGTAGCAATGCTGGCCTGTTAACTGATAACTAGAACTTAGGTTCACGTTTATGTAAAGTGTGTAAAACCTAGTAGAGCTTGCATAGTCGGCACTCAGTAAATGTTTGGTTCCTTTTGCCCCTTGGTAAGTTTATTTTACCATCCTCCCACCTGCCATTCTGACTTTATTAAATCAACATGTGGACCAGAGTGTTAATGAGATGTTATTGCAGAAGAGATTGAGAAAATTGGTATATCATGCAGATAACATACAAAATCTTTTTGTAACGTAAAAAATGCAGTTTTATTATTGCTTGTGCCTCAACTGTTTAAGTGAATATTAAAGGGCTTGGAGAAAACTTTGGCTTGGCGTATGTTTGGAGAAGTGAACTCTGCTGAATTTATTGAGTCTAAAGCTGTGGGTTTTTTGTTGTTAACGTCTTTGAGGATGTCTAGGGCCGCAGGCTTCCCTGCCAGAAGAATGCACATTTGCTTCAGATTCCAGGTGAAGAAAATCCCTGTGGTAGTGTCAGCGCCTGAGGGCTTCCAGGTGGTGGTGGGCCCAGCGTCAGGAGATAGCAGTCACCTGGGAGGCCCGTTACAACAGGTTCGTGAGAGGAGCCCAGTGGTGGTGGTGCTGACGTGCGAAACATGAAGGCTTGTTAGAGAAACCAGCTGTGTTAAGGTGACAGAATGTGTACGTTAGCACTGTAAAAAGCAGCTAATTGGTAGCAGAACGTGCTAGCTGAGAATACGTTGTATTCTACATCACTGATAATGATCTGAAGTGTACAAGTCATCAGTATCAGATCTATGAGAGTTTTTGTAGTTTTGCTCTAACATAAATTTCTCTTTGCCACCTCCAAAGTTATTATATTAATAGTAAAAGTAATGCTTTGGAGAGGGTGGAAGGGGGTATGCCCTAGCCTCCACAGCTCCTGCCACAAACTGCCCAGATAAGCAGGACCTGAGTGTGTTGAAAGGCTGAGTTGAAGAGCAGATTGACACAGGAGGGCTGGAATGAACGTTGGCTAGAGCAGGTGTGTCCAATCTTTTGGTTTCCCTGGGCCACACTGGAAGAAGAAAATTGTCTTCAGCCACACATAAAATACACTAACACTAACAATAGCTGATGAGCTAAAAAAAAAAAAAAAAAAAAATCATGGTGTTTTAAGAAAGCTTATAAGTTTGTGTTGGGCCACATTCAAAGCTGCCCTGGACCACAGGTTGGACAAGCTTGGGCTAGAGCCAGAGGCCATGGGAGACAGGATGCAGGGCAGGGAGTAGGGCCTCTGCCAGAACTCCTTAAGCCAGGTGCCATGCTCACCTGTAATCCCAGCACTTTGGGTAGGCCAAGGGGTGGGAGGATCACCTGAGGCTAGGAGTTCCAGAACTTGTCTGTTTTGTTAGTCTCTATTGCCCAGGCTGGAATGCCTCTCAGGTTCAAGCAATTCTCATGCCTCAGCCTCCCAAGCAGCTGTGGTTACAGGCATGCGCCACCACACCCAGCTAATTTTTGCATTTTTCATAGAGACGGGTTTCGCCATGTTGGCCAGGCTGGTCTCGAACTCCTGGCCTCAAGTAATCCACCCTCCTCGGCCTTTTAAAGTGTTGGGATTACAGGCGTGAGCCACCCTGCCTGGTCAGAAGACCCCGTCTCAACAAAAATGTGAAAAAATTGGCTGGATGTAGAGCACACCTGTAGTCATAGCTACTCACGAGGCTGAGGTGGGAGGATCGCTTGGGCCCAGGACTTCGAGGCTGCAGTGAGGCGTGATGGCACTGCTATACTCTAGCCTGGGCAACAGAGTGAGACCCTGTCTCATAAAGAGAAAAGACAAATTTGCTCCTCTTTTAGCTCAGCCAAGAGATGCTGTTTTATCTAGAAGCTTCCCCTGGTGTCTCCATTCTTCCTGGGTGATTTCTCCCTCTCTGCTTTCAGCAGCCACCTGTAGCTGATGACTTCCTCCTGTCCCACTTCTTTCCAGCCTCACTGCCACTATTTTAGGTAACCCAGAGTTATTGCAGGTCCCATCGCCAATCCACACAGCTGCCTGAGGAATTGATCTGAAACATCATGTCCCTCGTATGGCATCCGAGGCCCTCATAATCTGGCCTGATTAACTCCGATCTCACCTCATGTGCCATCCTTCCCCCAAATGTGCCTTCCTCTTCAGCTGTCCTCCTGCGGGGCTCCCTATGCCTTGGGCAACTGTGCTTACCACCCCAGATAGCTGGATGAACAAAATAGTCCCTGATTTTACCATCTCATTGAGAGAGTCTTAATGTAGCCGGCCCAGGTCCAGGGTTCTGTGCCCCATGTTGATGATGCTGGTATCTCCATTCCTGGGATATTCCTATGGCATTTACCAATGTCTACTGTCACTTCCTGGTGACTTGTCCATCTTTCCTACCAGACAGCTCCCAAGGCATGTCTTACTGACCATCGGATTCCCCAGCATAGAGCATAGTTAAATGCCTAGTAAATAATGAATGGAAATCCAAATGAACAGAAATGGGATTTTTCACCACAAAATTTAAAAGATTCTTTGGGATTACACATGCCAGGTAAGTGGAAGGAAAGAAACATTGTGAGGAGTAATCTATTTTAAAACCCACTTAACTCACTTGGTTATTAGAAATAGTGTAAGTTTGAGAACAGGAGAAGGGAAGGGATCTATTTAGCTTTCTGCATATTTCTTGATAGCCTCCTAACCTAACAACAAAATGCCAAAAAAAAGCAAACCTGGCAGCCATTGAAGAGCATTCATAAAGGTTTTTGTTTTGTTTTTTTGAGACAGTCTGCTCTGTCGCCCAGGCTGGAGTGCAGTGGCACAACCTTGGCTCACTGCAGCCTCCTCCTCCCGGGTTCAAGCGATTCTCCTGCTTCAGCCTCCCGAGTAGCTGGGATTACAGGTGTGCACCTCCATGCCTGGTTAATTTTTTGTGTGTTTTTAGTAGAGATGAGGTTTCACCATGTTGGACAGGCTGCTTTCAAACTAAAAAAAAAAAAAAAAAAAATTCTGAGATGGCCTTTTAGAAAAAACCCAAAAACATAATTAAGAGTCATTTTGAACCACCCTTTCATGGAAACTTGCCAAATACAGGGATGACTTAGGTGTCATTATAGTTCAACATTTAAGGGTGCTCTGTGGCCCCGTCTATACCCTGCTTTTCCCAAACCTTTTTAAAAGACAGGATTGTTTTGTTTCTTAGCTTTCCCTTGAGCTAGATGAACTACAGATCAGCAGTCCAGGTAGGCAGCTTATTCAGAACTTTGACGACTTGGAATTTAGTCTACTTTCACAGGTGACAGATTTTTAAAATTCACTTATATTCAGAAAAAGAGGCCAGGCACAGTGGCTCATGCCTTTAATCCCAGCACTTTGGGAGGCTAAAGTGGGCGGATCACCTGACGTCAGGAGTTTGAGACCAGCCTGTCCAACATGGTGAAACCCCGTCTCTACTAATAATACAAAAATTAGCTGGGCGTGGTGGTACATGCCTGTAATCCCAGTTACTTGGGAAGCTGAGGCAGGAGAACTGTTTGAACCTGGGAGTTGGAGGTTGCAGTGAGCCATTGCACTCCAGCCTGGGCGACAAGAGTGAAACTCTCTCCAACAAAACAATACAAAAAAAAAAAAAAAAAAAAAAAGGATGCTGGCTAAAATAACCATGTCTTTACCAAATGTTGGATGGCAGAAGACAAGACTTTCCAAATCTTTAGCTACTCAGATACTGTTAGACATTCTTAGCTCAATTTAAACACTGTCACTAAATAAAAAAATTTAGGAGTGACTAGTGTGAATAATAGCTATTGTGGCTTGAATTCTGACTCATTTGCTGACTGACTTTGGGTAATTAATTACTTGGTTATTTGATTACTTAGAGCTTTTTTATTTGGAGAGGGAGTTTTGCCCTGTCGCCCAGTCTGGAGTGCAGTGGTGCGATCTTGGCTCACTGCAACATCAGCCTCCCAGCTTCAAGCAATTCTCCTGTCTCAGCCTCCCGAGTGGCTGCGACTACAGGCATGTGCCACCATGTACAAATACATTTTTGTATTTTTAGTAGAGACAGGGTTTCACCATGTTGGTGAGGCTGGCTTTGAACTCACAACCTCAAGTGATCGGCCCTTCTTGGCCTCCCAAAGTGCTGGGATTACAGGCTTGAGCCACTGCGCCTGGCTTTTTTTTTTTTTTTTTTTTTTTTAACTGTTTTTCACTGCTGTATCCTCAGTACACAGAATGGTTTGTAACACGAGACAGACACCTCAGTAAAAGCCAGATGAGGGCTAGTATTAGTAAAACCTGTCAGACTGTTGCATTTGAAAAACGAAACAAAAACGTTGGTTCCAGGGCACTAACCACCATGAAATACAGTAAGTGTACATCTCGGTTATAGTTTACTCCCTACCCACAGCCTTCCTCTCCCACAGCGGAGAAACAATAGTGAATTAGTTTCTTTCTCAGAGAGACTTGAGGTATGTGATGAAAGACAAGTCCAAGAAACAGTGAAGCCAGCTTTGCAGACATCAGCCCTAGAACCAATGGTATTATTTCCCAGTGCAAATGATAATTACTCCGACCTACTCATCAAGACAAGAAAAAGCATCTCTGATCAATTTTCAAAAGAGGCTGGGTTGGTGTAATTATAGTTAATAATACCCATCTACGGAGCTGTTGCCCCTGACACACACACCCTTGAGTTGTCAGCCTCAGACTTCCATTTCTAGCACCTGTAAGCTGGTCAAGTTGTGTGCACTGTAATGTGTCACCATGAAACGAAAGAGAAGTACCAGGTGAGCTCTCTCTCTCTCTGTGTATATACGTGTGTGTGTGTGTGTGTGTGTGTGTGTGTGTGTGTGTGTGTGTGTGTACGCCTTGCCTGAAAATGATTTAAAGCTACTAACCGGGCCCCATGGAAATTCAGTCTCATTGCATAGGGCTCCAGGCAACTGAGTTACTGGACACTACACCAGGTCTTGGGTTTTTTGAGATAAAAAATCAGCAAAGTATGTGTAAAGTAACATTTCTTACAAAAATAGATTTCTCTCTTCTCTCAACATGGCATCAGTTTTTTCAATATATTGGCAAAGTGGATCCATCCACGGTTCTGGGTCCTGGCTGTGCGTCCGATCGCCTTTGTCAGCTGGGGGAAGACTCAGGGTGACTTGAGCCAGGAGGACCGCGGAGTGGACAGCCGGTACCGCGCGCTCCCCTTTCCCTTGTTCTAAACTGGGCTGGAGAAGTTCATAGGATTTGCTCCGTCTGTACCGCGTGCGCTGTGAGCGTTTTCATCAGGGCAGCAGCAGACGCGAAGGAGCGCGCTGGCGCCCTCTGGCGGCGATCCTAGGGTGCGTCCGCGCCGTGCCTACCCCCCGGCCTCCGGGAGCCTCGAGCCCCAGCGCGACTGTGATTCTGCCAATTACAGCGATCATCATAGCGAAATGAAAATGCTCCGATTATTTGTTTATAAATAAAACCGTTCCTCCTGGAAAATGTGCCAGGATGACATTTTGTGAAGTCCTGTTTCCAGTCTTCGTGAATTAAAATTCTAGATGGGAAACTACCAGACAGGAGAAGATAATTGAAAAGGATAGTTGAAAGGACTTCTGACTTGTCCAAGAAGAGACGCAATTCCAGGTTAATCTTCAGAGTGAGTCAAAGCAACGTAAGTATGATCTTTTTCTACGAAAGGCAAAGAATAAAATGTGGCAGAGGGTTTCTACAACTCCTTACCTTCCCAGTTCTGTAGAATCACCCTACAAAAATAGAGGGGCAGCTGTGGGGTGGCGGAACGAACACGGTTTTTAGAAGCAGGGGCTTGGGTTTGAGTTCTAAATGTGCAGCGTACTGGGGCACTTAACTTCTCTGAGGCTTAGGTGCCTCATTTCCAAAGGGCATGAGAATATCTTCTTTTTTTTTTTTTTTCCTTTTTTTGAGACGGAATCTCGCTCTGTCGCCCAGGCTGGAGTGCAGTGGCGCGATCTCGGCTCACTGCAGCCTCCGCCTCCTGGGTTCCAGGGATTCTTGTGTCTCAGCCTCCCAAGTAGTTGGGACTACAGGCACGAGCCACCACGCCCAGCTAATTTTTGTATTTCTAGTAGAGACTGGGTTTCACCTGGGGTGGGGGGAGGGGGGAGGGATAGCATAGGAGATATACCTAATGTAAATGACGAGTTAATGGGTGCAGCACACCAACACGGCACATGTATACATATGTAACAAACCTGCACGTTGTGCACATGTACCCTAGAACTTAAAGTATAATTAAAAAAAAAAAAAAGGCACACCTGAAATGCCAGCTGCTCCTCTGAGACAGGCGGCTCCCTCAGCCAGCTCAGCTGTTCTAGCAAAAAGGCGTTTGATTCTGGGCCAAGCCCAGAATAGGGATTGTCTCCTCATACTATGCCTCTGGCTTCCTGGAGTACAGATTTATGGCTTCTGAATGTGGGAGGAGAAAAAAAAATCCTTAAATCTAAGTCAAAAGCCTGCTAGAACTACTCTCTACAGCTAAACAGAAATGAGCTACAAACTCCTGTCGTGCGGCTTAAATGGAGAAACTTGTGAAGGGATCTGGTTTTGGGTTACTGACATGCTTGAAGGTGCTCATGAGTGGTGGTTTTCCTGTCTTCAAAGTAAATTTTAGGAACAATAAGTTCACTTTGATCATTATCTCTAGGTTATGGGGTTATGGATGGATTTTTTTTTTTTTTTTTTTTGAGATGGAGTCTCACCCTGTCGCCCAGGCTGGAGTGCAGTGGCGTGATCTCAGCTCACTGCAACCTCTGCCTCCCAGGTTCAAGTGATTCTCCTGCCTCAGCCTCCCCAGTAGCTGGGACTACAGGTGCCTGCCACCACGCCTGGCTAATTTTTGTATTTAGTAGAGACGAGGTTTCACCATATTGGCCAGGCTGGTCTCAAACTCCTGACCTCAGGTGATCCGCCCATCTCAGCCTACCAAAGTGCTGGGATTACAGGCATGAGCCACAGCGCCCAGCCAATTTTTGTATTTTTAGGAGAGACGGGGTTTCACCATATTGCCCAGGCTGGTCTCGAATTCCTGACCTTGTGATCTGCCTGCCTTGGCCTCCCAAAGTGCTGGGATTACAGGCATGAACCACTGAGCCCGGCCGGATTTTTCTTACTTATACTTTCCTGTATTTTTTACATATTTGGCCATAACCACGTACCCTTCATAGAGTAAGAGAAAGCAAAGTAAGGTGTTTTGTCCATGCTTATAGACCCAGGCAAACTGAAGCAGAAGGGGACTTTGTTGTTTGACAGCAGGGTGGGCTTCAGGTACAGCTGGATCTGGTTTCTTTCTCTCTCTTCATCCTTCAGGTCTCACCTCTTGATTGGGCTGTAGTTTTGGGCAGATGCTTCCCTCCTGGTCCCAATACAGCTGTGGTAGCTTCAGACTCATGTCCTTCCAATTTCAAGTCTAGTGGCAACAATTTCTATCCTGTGATTCCTGACAAACTGTTCTTTGCGTCTCTTTGGCTCCAGTTGGCTCATAGATCTGCCTAAAATTGAAGCACTGTGGCAAGGCAGCTGGCAGAACTGCTTGACTCACACCCATCTCACATGCGTCACTCCTGAGATGGAGTTGGAACCCTCTGTCCCAAGCACACGGGCTAAGAGTAGGAGAAGGATAGTTTCCTGGAGGGAATTTGGTGTCCAGCTGTCAAAACAGGGGGAATAGATAGGTAGCAAGAAAATCACAAATGCTGTCTTCCTACCTACTTCCAGAAAGGATTTGCAGTAATGCAGGGAGAAGAAAACTGAGGCTAAGGAAAACTGCTGTAATTAACCCAGAGTTTAGCGCTGAGCTTCCTGGTAGCCAAGGCAAAAGGGAAAGACTTGTTCACAAAATGCTAACCCACCAGGATTAAACAGGAAGAATCAACACCTCTGATAAAAAATTTCCTATGACTCCAAGGCTCAGGGCTGTTTTCTACTTCTGCTTTATTCTTTCCTTCTCAATCTTTCCTTTCTTTATTTTCTTTCCTTTCCTCCCTTTCCTCCCTTCCCTCCCTCCCTCCCTCCCTCTCCCCTTCCCTACCTCCGCCTCCCCCTCCCCTCCCCTCCCCTCCTCTCCCCTCCCTTCCCCTCCCCTCCTCTCCCCTCCCCTTCCCTTCCTTTTTTTGAGTTGCAGTTTCCCTCTTGTTATGATTTCAGCTCACTGCAACCTCCGCCACCTGGGTTCAAGTGATTCTCCTGCCTCAGCCTCCCAACTAGCTGGGATTTCAGGCATGCGCCACCATGCCCAGCTAATTTTGTGGGTTTTTTTTTTTTAGTAGAGACGGGGTTTCACCCTGTTGGTCAGGCTAGTCTGGAACTCCTGACCTCAAGTGATCCACCCACCTCAGCCTCCTAAAATGCCGGGATTACAGGCATGAGCCACTGCACCAGGCCCTCCTTCTCAATATTTCTTAGTTTTCATTTTTTTCCTTTCATAGACAATCTTCATTCCCTTTTTTTCTCATGTCACTGAGATGAGTCCTTATCCCATGTCTCTGTCTAGAGCCAATATGTGGCCTGTTGACCTCTCTTCACAGTTGGATGGGGAGCCATCAGAACTTCCAGGGTTTGGACTAGCTCTGTGAGAACACGCTATTAGATACTCCTGGAGGGAGGTGGTTAAACTTAAAGGAGGTTCAAAATTCATTGCCAGGACCGGGCGTGGTGGCTCACGCTTGTAATCTCAGCACTTTGGGAAGCTGAGGCAGGCGGATCACCTGAGGTCAGGAATTCGAGACCAGCCTGACCAATGTGGCGAAACCCCGTTTCTAATAAAAATACAAAAATTAGCCGGGTGTGGTGGCACATGCCTGTAATCCCAGCTACTCGGGAGGCTGAGGCAGGAGAATCGCTTGAATCGGGGAGGCGGAGGTTGCAGTAGCCAAGATCGCACCATTGCACTCCAGCCTGGGCAACAAGAGCAAAACTCCCTCTCAAAAAAAAAGAAAAAAAGAAAAAAAGAAAAAAAAAATTCATTGCTAGTGGAGGATCTGCCAGAAACAAGGCTCAAGAGACCTAGGGTTCAGTCCTGTTTCCCTTTCAAAGTCAGCCGCCCTCCCTGGACTCTTTAACTGAGAAAGGAATGAACTGGATCAGCTGTTGACCCCAACATTGCCACATGACTCTGCAAAACACCCATCACACTGTGGGAACGTGAAATTCTCACTAACGCCCATTTCACAGTGTCTTTTGCATCAAAAAGGTTTGCAGAGATTTTTCTTTCCAGATCACATAGTTTCTCACAGATCCTGAGTGTTTCACACTCAATTCTTTTTCCTGCGTTGACAACCAGAGGAAGCACATCTGCGCAAGGCCGCTGCAGGCCTGGGCTTGGGTCTCGGTTGCCAGAGCAACCAGCAGCTGCAGGTGTGCAGGGCCGGCCCGCAAGCCGCTTATTTGCCTGGCGGGGAGACCTGCTGACAGATGCTATGGCCGCTTGGGGAAAAGAACATGTTGAGCCGGTGATCCCTTCTCACCCACTCCGAGACTTTTAAGTTTACAAAGTAGCTACAGGGGATTGTCAATCCCCAAAAGTGGGAGGGAGAGGGGACCTTTTGGCCTTACTCCTGTTTGGGACATTTTCTTTCCTAGATTTTGTCCTATTTACACCTTTTTAATTGCCAGCATTTTTCTGGAAAAGCCAGAGAGGAGAATAATTTGACTGTGGGAAGGAAATTATTTGTAAACCTTCCTGTAGAATCTGTCCAGTCTCTCTTTGGTGTTACTCTTGTAGTCCGGATTTTCGTATTTTAATGTGGAGTTTTATAGTCTATTGAGTATCTCTCCTTTTTGCTACAGGAACGTGTACCAGTGGGCAGCAACCTGGGGGAGGCTGGTTAAAATGCAGATTCTGGGCTGGGCGCTGTGGCTCACGCCTGTAACCCCAGCATTTTGGGAGGCTGAGGTGGGCAGATCACCTGAAGTCAGGAGTTTGAGACCAGCCTGGCCAAGATGGTGAAACTCTGTCTCTACTAAAAATACAAAAATTAGCTGGGCATGATAGTATATGCCTGTGTAATCCCAGCTACTTGGGAGGCGGAGGCAGGAGAATTGCTTGAACCCAGAAGTGGGAGGCTGCAGTGAGCCAAGATCACACCACTGCACTCCAGCCTGGGCGACAGAGCAAGACTCCAAAAAAATGCAGATTCTAGGGCTCGGTCTCAGCATTACTGAGACAGTCTTGTGGGAGTGAGTCCAGAAATCTACATTCTAAATAAACAGGAGGTCATCTGATTTTTTTTTTTTTTTTTTTTTTAAGATGGAGTCTCTCTCTGTTTCCCAGGCTGTAGTACAGTGTTGTGATCTTGGCTCACTGCAACCTCCACCTCCTGGGTTCAAGCCATCCTTCCACTTCAGCCTTCCGAGCAGCTGGGATTATAGGCATGCGCCACCACACCTGCCTAATTTTTGTACTTTTAGTAGAGACGGGGTTTCGACATGTTGGCCAGGCTGGTCTCGGGTTCCTGACTTCAGGTGATCCACCTGCCTCGGCCTCCCACAGTGTTGGGAGCACAGGTGGGAGCCACCGGGCCTGGCCACTCATCTGATTTAGTTGGACCCAAGACCAAAGTTTAAAATCATGTTAAGAACTGGGTATATATTGGCCAGTAACCTCGGCATTTTAGGAGGCCAAGGTGAGAGGATCGCTTGAGGCCAGGGGTTTGAGATCAGCCTGGGCAACATAGAGAGACCTCATCTCTCTAAACAATTAAAATAATTAGCCAGGTTTGGTGGCATGAACCTGTAGTCCCAGCTATTTGGGAGGCTGAGACCAGAGGATCAATCGGGCTCAGGAGTTCCAGGCTGCAGTGAGCTAGGACTGCGCCACTGCACTCCAGCCTGGGTGACAGAGCAAGACTCTGTCTTAAAAGAAAACAAAAACAAAACAAAAACACAAACTGATGGAAAATGAAAGGAGAATGACACTAATATTGTTCACGCCACCAAGCTTTCCTGCCCACTCCTGCAGGTGGGCGCTTCCCTGGGCACATGTTTCTTGCCTGTCCGAAGTCCTTCTCCCTGACTTTGGGAATAGCACCCCAATTTAATTTTGGAGAGTCATCCATTCAGCCCCCACTCCACGTGGAGCCAGTGGTGGGAGGAAAATCACTGTGCCTGCAACCCACCCAAGCCAACTCCTCTGTCTCAGAGGTCATTCCTTCTCTTTTCTCCCCGTTTCCTCCCCCTCTCCCTCTCTTTTTCCTTCCCTTCCTCTTTACCTCCCTCCCTTCCTTCCTTTCCTCCTCCTTCCTCCCTCCCTAGAGTTTGGGTCCATCTCTGTTGAGTGTCACCAGAGAGCTCTGATCCCATAGGTGCACAGTCTGCGGGGCGCTGTGTCTCGCTGAAGTGGGCTGTCCCTCTCCCAAGTGAGGACCATTGCGCAGCCTTAATTATTTCAGTCTTTCATTGGGGAATAGGGTCTGATCTCATAAGAATTTACCCAGGACATATTGAGACTCTGCCTCTAAAAAACAAACAAACAGCAAATAAAACTCCCAAAAACTATTGGCAGAGGTAGAAATAAAAAGTCTATTGAACAACAACAACAAAAATAGACCAGGTGTGATGACTCACGCTTGTGATCCCAGTACTTTGGGAAGTTAAGGTGGGAGGGTCCCTTGGGACCAGGAGTTCAAGACCAGCCTGGACAACACAGTGAGACCCCCAGCTCTACAAAAAAAAATTTTTTTTTTTTGAGACGAAGTCTTGCTCTTGTTGCTCGGGCTGGAGTGGAATGGCACGATCTCGGCTCATTGCAACCTCCGCTTCCTGGGTTCCAGCAGTTCTCCTGCCTCAGCCTCCTGCCCAAGTAGCTGGGATTACAGGTGCCTGCCACCACGCCTGGCTAACTTTTTGTATTTTTAGTAGAGACGCGGTTTCGCCATGTTGGCCAGGCTGGCCTTGAACTCCTGACCTCAGGTGATCCACCCGCCTCGGCCTCCCAAAGTGTTGGGATTCTACAGGCGTGAGCCACCGCGCCCGGCCAAAAAATTTTTTAAAAATGATTAGCCGGGCATGATGGCATGTGCCTGTAGTCCCAGCTACTGGAGAGACGAGCAGGAGGATGGCTTGAGCCCGCCAGTTTGAGGTTACAGTGAGCTATGATTGCATAACCTGGGCAACAAAATGGGATCCCGCCTCAAAAAACAACAACAAACCCCCAGAAAACAAAAAAAACCCTTTCCTTGGTTCTGTCTACGGAGGTGACATTTATCTCCTACTCTGAATGATGGCTCCCTCAGACCCCTCATGGAGCCCAAGAGCATCCAAAAGAGGATCAAAAACTTCATCTGGCACCAGTTAGACCAGTTCCTGGTCCACTACATCAAGAAACTGGAAGTGCTGCTGATGGGCAGTGAATCTGACTGTGCAGGGACCGCTCGCCGTGCCTCCTCCAAGAACCAAGAACCGCAACGCTGTTTCGGGAAGAGCAGCCCAGCTGCCGTCAGAGTCAGCAATCCCAATGCTGGGCTGCCCCGCCAAGAAAATGAATGGGCAGCCATGTGTACATATTATTTGTGTTTAAATAAAGCCATAAAATCTGAAAGAAAAAAAACAAACCAGGCGCGGTGGCTCATGCCTGTACTGTAATCCCAGCACTTCGAGAGGCTGAGGCGGGTGGATCACCTGAAGTCAGGAGTTCGAGACCAGCCTGGCCAACATGGTGAAACCCCCATCTCTACTAAAAATACATAAATTAGCTGGGCATGGTGGCGGGCGCCTGTAGTCCCAGCTGCTCAAGAGGCTGAGGCAGGAGAATAGCTTGAACTTGGGAAGTGGAGGTTGCAGTGAGCCCAGATCGCATCACTGCACTCCAGCCTGGGTGTCAAGAGCGAGACTGTGTCTCAAACAAAAACGAAAACAAAAACAAACAAAAAGAGTGAAGAGTATGCTCGGGCTGTCTAGCATTGTAGAAGGGCACCTCCACTTTGGAGAACTTTCTTTCGGCTGCCTTGTCTCTCTCTTCTCTCCTAAGTGGACCAAGGGACAGGCTTCCATGGCTTTCTTCCAAGCTAGAAACACCAGCAGGTCACTACTCATGTTGTGTATTTAGAAACCTTATTTAAAAAACTGGATTGCAAAGTAGAGAGTAGCTCAAAGGATGAAGCAGTTTTTTCCCCAATGGTTTTTGTGAGTCTATTACCAATGGCCTAATTTTGCTTTAATCAAAGGTTTTTATGATGCTAACTGATGATGTCTAAACACAAATAAAGGTTTTGTTTTGTTTCTGAGAATAGTGGCTTAAAAAATACTAACATGGAAAAATAATGGATGATTTTGCTGATAGTAGTACTGTTTGCAGATTTGTTTGCAGTACTGTTTGCAGATTTGTTTGCAGTACTGTTTGCAGTTTTATGGTGAAAGAAAATAATTTAGCAGCTAAGGCGAGTTTGTGCCTTGCCTTAGCACATGGTCACTTACGAACTGTGCGGTGTGGGTCTACACCTAGAACTTTCCCTCAGAACAGAGATTTAACAATTAGATGACACTCAGGAAGCTTCCTTTAAACAAGCAAATATTTCCAGTTGACAACAGGAATGTAAACACGACTCCAATCAGTGAATATGCTGAAAGCTCTTTCCTATCTGCGGTATTAGCTGTGCTCAGTGGAGAGGGTAACGTTTCTTCCTTTGTCTCCTCACATACTCATCTCCAATTAAATTACTTACCATCAATTCATAGACCTTTAGGGCTAAGCTAATTTTTAAACACTGACAAAAATTCTACAAAGAGCATCTATAAAACAGGTTGGGAGAGTGTCCTCAGAAGTTGAACCTAGAACCATGTCCTGGGTAGTATTCTCTGCATTGCCTTGTGGGGTCGTGTGTGGGAAAACATTCTTTTTTGTTTGTTTTTTGAGATGGAGTCTCACTCTGTCTCCCAGGCTGGAGGAGTGCAGAGGTGCGATCTCGGCTCACTGCAGCTTCCGCCTCCCTGGTTCAAGCGATTCTCCTGCCTCAGCCTCCCGAGTAGCTAGGATTACAGGTGCCCACTACCACACCCAGCTAATTTTTGTATTTTTAGTAGAGACGAGTTTCACCACGTTGGTCAGGGTGGTCTCGAACTCCTGACCTCAGGTCATCTGCCCGCCTCCGCCTCCCAAAGTGCTGAGATTACAGGCGTGAGCCACCGTGCCTGGCCACACGTGGAAAAAACATTCTGATCTGGCTGGGCGCGGTGGCTCACGCCTGTAATCCCAGCACTTTGGGAGGCCGAGGCGGGCGGATCACGAGGTCAGGAGATCAAGACCACCCTGGCTAACACGGTGAAACCCCATCTGTACTAAAAATACAAAAAAAAAAACAAACAAAAACAACAACAACAAAGAAAACATTAGCCGGGCGTGGTGGCGGGCCCCTGTAGTCCCAGCTACTGGGGAGGCTGAGGCAGGAGAATGGCTTGAACCTGGGAGGAGGAGCTTGCAGTGAGCCGAGATCGCGCCACTGCACTCCAGCCTGGGCGACAGAGTGAGACTCCGTCTCAAACAAAAACAAAAACAAAAAACCAAAACATTCTGATCCATGAACCTTTGGATTTCTCTGGGAGGAAACAGGTCTCTGCTCCAGCACTTCGCACTTATTATGGGGCTCTTGGGAGAAGGCAAGAGGGAGAGATGGAGGATGTTGGTCTCCATGCAGGATCACGGCTGCCGGGCACGGTGGCTCACGCCTGTAATCCCAGCACTTTGGGAGGCCGAGGCGGGCAGGTTGCCTGAGCTCAGGAGTTCGAGACCAGCCTAGACAACAGGGTGAAACCCCGTCTCTACTAAAATATAAAAAATTAGCTGGGCACGGTGGCGTGTGCCTGTAGTCCCAGCTACTCGGGAGGCTGAGGCAGGAGAATTGCTTGAATCCAGGAGGCAGAGGATGCAGTGAGCTGAGCGCCGCCTGGACGACAGAGTGAGACTCCATCTCCAAAAAACAAACAAACAATAAAAAAGATCACGGCTTCTCTGGAACAACAGCTCAAGCTGTGTGTGTGATAGTTAACTTTATGTGTCAACTGGGAGGGTGTTTTTGTATGAGATCAACATTACAGCCAGGCATGGTGGTGCACACCTGTAATCCTAGCTACTTGGGAGGCTGAAGTGGGAGGATTGCTTGGGGCCAAGAGTTTGAGGCTGCATTGAACTATGATTGTGCCACTGCACTCTAGCCTGAGCAACATAGCAGGATCTCATTTTATATTTAAAAAAATCCCAAAACATATTGGTAAACTCTGAGTAAAGCAGAGGCCCTCTCTAATGTCGGTGGGTCTCATCCAATCAGTTGAAGATCTAAGTAGAACAAAAAGACTGGCCTTCCCAAGCGAGGGAAGTTATCCGGCAGAACGCCCTGGGACTTCTCTGCACCTTCCGCTCTCCTGGGTCTGGACTGTGCTGGCCCACGCCTTGGGTTTAGGACCTGCCAGCCTCCACAATCACGAGCCCATTCCTCAACGTGAAACTCTTCCTCTCTCTACACACATCCTGTTGGTTTTGTTTCCCTGGAGAACTGTAATACAGCATGTCCCGCTGATCCTGGCTTATTTGTACCAGATCTTAGACTTTCAGTCAAGGGGCCCTCATAGATAAACTGCTTCAATCTTCCAGGAAACCCCTATACCAAAAACTCATGCTGCTCGGCCCGCCTCTCAGCGCCTTCTTGGTGTGCTTGGGCGCCATCTAGTGCCTACCGCAGGCACTGCGATGACCTACCCGCCTCTTTCATCTCTATCATCACCGGTTTAATTCCTTAAGCACATATTAGTAGACCTCCATATTCGTGTGCATCATTCGCTCTTCTGTTCGCTCAACAAACATTTAGCGAAGGTTTGTTTATGCACAAGGCATTGCCACAGATGCAAGACCGCCCAGCAGGTGGCTTCTCCCCTTTGTGGAACTCACAGATCAGCTGGAGACAGGGAATAAATGCAGATTACAGTCAGGTGAGAGCAGGGCCACGCGGAAAGCATGATAAAGAGCTCAGGAGCTAAGGGGGTGAGCAAGGGGGACTGCGGGGAGGGCCACTGTCGATGCAGTGTTTACTGCGTTCCAGGCGTGGAGTGGGCTCTGGACACACAGGGGTGACCGTCACTCCCCGTAGCAGCATCCAGCCTGCTGGGGCCTCCTCTCCCCTGCTTGCATTCGGATTGCGCTCTAGGACAGTTCGTGATGGTCCCCAGGCCACAGCACCGAGAATGACTTCCTTGCATTTGCCAGAGTGTGGCAGTGGTTCTTCAAAAATCAGGCTCTGCACTTGGAAGCTCCAGGCGAGACACTTGGGCTGCAGCTCCTGAGGGCTGCCTTGCTGGGAAGGGGTGGGGACGTCCCGCCGGGGATCAAGGTGAAGGTGGGTGTGTGGCCGGATCCCTGCTTGTTTCCTGCTCCCTAGGGCCTAACTCCTCACCCCTCACTCTGCTGAGAATTGATGAGGAGGAAACAAGGGGAAGGCTTTGGGTCCTCGTACCCCTGTTGTCCAGGCTCCCGCCCCGTTCGGACGACCAGCGCTTCCCGGCTCCCCGTCATGCTTCCCCATGGGACTCCAGTCAGCAAGGATCCCGCTGAGTTCACACGTGCTCAGGGAGTGGCCCTGAGACTTGGGTGCTCCTTCCCATGAGGCTGACTGTGCTGGCGAAGCCACTGTAAGCCAGTAGTAATGATCACTCCGGGCCTACTGTGTGCTAGATGCTGAGTGCTGTTACTTAAGTCACCTCTAACCCTCTAACCTTTTTTTTTTTTTTTTTTTTTTTTTTTTTGAGACAGAGTTTCACTCTTGTTGCCCAGGCTGGAGTGCTGTGGCACAATCTCGGCTCACTGCAACCTCCGCCTCGCGGGTTCAAGTGATTCTCCTGCCTCAGCCTCCTGAGTAGCTGGGATTACAGGCATGTGCCACCATGCCCGGCTAATTTTGTATTTTTAGTAGAGATGGGGTTTCTCCATGTTGGTCAGACTGGTCTTGAACTCCCGACCTCAGGTGATCTGCCCGCCGCGGCCTCCCAAAGTGCTAGGATTACAGGCGTGAGCCACCGCGCCCGGGCAGTCACCTCTAACCCTTCTAAACCTTTCTAGGTGGTGTTCTTGTTTCACACGGATGTGGCAATTGGCTCAGAGGGTTGAGGTCATTAACAGGAGAAGTGAGGCGGGGGCGGTGGCTCAGGCCTGTAATCCCAGCACTTTGGGAGGCCAAGGCAGGTGGATCACTTGAAGTCAGGAGTTTAAGACCAGCCTGGTCAACATAGTGAAACCCCATCTCTACTAAAAATACAAAAGTTAGCCGGGCGTGGTGGCGCGCGCCTGTAGTCCCAGCTGCTCGGGAGGCTGAGGCAGGAGAATCGCTTGAACCCGGGAGGCGGAGGTTGCAAGATCACACCACTGCACTCCAGCCTGGGGGACAGAGCAAGACTCCGTCTCAAAAAAACAAAACAAAACAAAAAAACCCCAGCAGAAGTGAGCATGGAGCTGACTGAGGTTGGCCTGGTTCCAAGTCCCTGTCCTCATATACCCATTCCTGCTGCCCAAGCAGGCAGTTGTGGTGGATGGGAGAAGGCAGGGGGGTTCCTTGCGAGCTTATGGCTTCTCTCTCTCTCTCTCTTTTGAGATAGGGTCTTGCTCTGTTACCCAGGCTGGAGTGCAGGGGCACCATCATAGATTGTTGCAGCCTCCAACACCTGGTCTCAAGTGATCCTCCCACCTCAGCCTCTCGAGTAGCTGGGACTACAGGCATGCACCACCATGCCCGGCTAATTTTTAGATTTTTTGTAGAGATGGGATCTTGCTATGTTGTCCGGGCTGGTCTTGAACTCCTGGCCTCAAACAATCCTCCCGCCTTGACCTCCGAGGTGCTGGGATTACAGGCGTGAGCTACCATGCCTGTATTGCATCTCTTTTTTTTTTTGAGACGGAGTCTTGCTCTCGTCAACCAGGCTGGAGTGCAATGGCGCAATCTCAGCTCACTGCAGCCTCCACCTCCCGGATTTAAGCGATTCTCCTGCCTCAGCCTCCTGAGTAGCTGGGTTTACAGGCACGTGTCACCGTGCCCGGCTAATTTTTGTATTTTTAGTAGAGACAGGCTTCACCATGTTGATCAGGCTCGTCTTGAACTCCTGACCTCAGGTGATCCACTGCCTCGGCCTCCCAAAGTGCTGAGATTACAGGTGTGAGCCACTGCGCCTGGCCACATCTCTCTCTAGAGACCTCTCCACCCTGGGGACAAGCCTGAGTCTCGGCCCTAAGGAGGGGCTTGCACCGCCTCACCCACCCATTCCTTCGACAGATCTGACTCCATGCCAGTCACTGAGGCCTAACATGGGTTGAGGGAGACCCAGGATTCTTCTTTCTGAGAATCTTGCCATCTATGGGGGATGTCACCATTATCCAGCCCTAGTCTATCATTCACAGGTGAGAAGACTGCAGTCAGGGAGGTCGGGGGTGCTGAGCCCTGGTTTCCTGCTGTGGGGTACATCACTGTCATTCCCCCCGGGATGAAGTGGCATCTGGAATGCCGCCTTTGAGCTGTACTTCTGCCTTCCCATGTTTATTCCTAAGCTCTGCCCAGTGCTTCTCACAGAGTGGGCATCTCTTAGACGTTCCAAAATTGTGGACGACTGTGCAACACAGTCTCCTCTGGAAGGGCCATGTGGACCGTGGGAATCGAGTGACGTCTGGTCTTCAGTGTGGGAGCTTCCTGGTTACAGGTGGCCTCCTCCTCTTAGCAAGACAGGAGCTGCGTGTGTCTTCCGATGCCCAGATCCTGCTCGGATAGCAGCGCTCCCTGTTCCACGAAATCCTCTGGCGAATCAGACAGTGGGTCCTTGATAAAATCAGTAACACGTGCCCCAGCTCTCCCCGCCGGGACCGCAGTAAATCTTCACATTTTTGCCACATCACTGCTTCTCTGACAGCTCAAGATGTTTTTCTGCTTCTGAGGATCCCTTTATTAAAAGCCTTGGAGCCCCACGGACGTGTTAAGCAGTGCTCCCTCTGGCGCCTCCCTGCCTTGCCATTTTCCCAGCTCAGCTTTTGCCTCTCTGTGTCTCCCACAAGCTTTCCACATCACTCATTCTGACATTTGAAAGTTTCCAAGCTTGTTCTGAAATGCTACAAACACTGCCATTGTTATGTGCCAGGCTTGGAATGCTGAGAATCCCAGGACGCTGGAGATGGGGCTTCGAGCCTTGCAGGGGAGCTGAGCAGCTGCACAGGGCCTGGGGATGTGGGTTGAGGACGAAGGCTGCTCCTGTTCCTCTGTGGACCGCACCAGGTCCAGTGGCTGCTGCCTTCCTGGCCTTCCTCCATTCCCACTGCACCAGGCCGTGGTTCTGTGCTTCCCACAGACTCACTCCAGCCACTCCATTTACTGAGGAAAATCACCCCTCTTTCCCACATTGCATGATTTCTTCTGCTTGGAGATAGGTCTGCTTGCTTGTGACAGGTTCTTTAGTTTTCAGGAGACGATATCAGAGAAAACAAACCTTGACGTGTTTGGGTTTTGGGTGTCCAGCCATGAGGTCTGTCTTCCTACAGCTTTTTTTTTTGAGACGGAGTCTCACTTTGTTGCCCAGGCTGGAGTGCAGTGGTGCAATCTTGGCTCACTGCAACCTCTGCCTCCCGAGTTCAAGCGATTCTCCTGACTCCAGCTCCTGAGTAGCTGGGACTACAGGCACATGCCTCCATGCCTGGCTAATTTTTGTATTTTTAGTAGAGACGGGGTTTCACCATGTTGGCCAGGCTAGTCTCGAACTCCTGACCTCAGGTGATCCACCCTCCTCAGCCTCCCAAAGTGCTGAGCCACTGTGCCTGGCCTGTCTTCCTATAGTTCTTATGCTAGCTGAAGTGCTGTTTTCATTAAGATTCATATCCAGTTAGCTTTGCCCACAGGTGCTATTTTTGCAGGTACGCAGCGCTCTTGCAGGCCACTGGGACCTGCTGGCGTCTGGAGTGCCGCCTTCCAGCTGTGCCGCTGTCTTTCTGTGCCTCTTTCTCACAGAGTGGGCCCCTTTTAGTTTCCAGCACTCTGAATGATGGCGCAAACACTGCTGTACCCCAAATCTTCGGTGGCACACCACACTCCAATTCTGCTTTAGCCGCACAGGTTTCAGCAAGACACCCTGCCGGTTTCATTTTTACTAGTTGTTCCCAGACTTTTGGATTCGTAGGCTAGAAAACTGAAAACAACAGGGTAGACATAGGTAATCAAGTGTTATTTTGCCTAGTGAAGACATAAACAAAACCAAACAAAATGATGTCTACAATCACAGGCACTCTCATGTCCTACAACAAAGCAGATTTAAACGCCAGAAAAGTAGGAGGAAGAGAATAAAACCAGAGTGAAAGACAGCGCTTGCCAGGAAAGGACAGATCTCACGCTGACAATTTCACTGCGGAGGGATGGAAACGTGGCCGAAGCCCAGCAGCTGTTAGTGAGCCAGCATTTCATTCATTCATTATTTATTTTTAGAGACAGGGTCTCACTGTGTTGCCCAGGATGGGGTTCAGTGGTGCCATCACAGCTCCACTGCAGCCTCAGACTCCCAGGCTCAAGTGATCCTCGTGCCTCAGCCTCCCGAGTAGCTAGGACTACAGGCATGCGCCACCACACCCAGCTGATTTTTTTTGTTTGTTTGTAGAGATGGGATCTCACTATGGTGACCAGGCTGGTCTTGAACTCCTGGCCTCAGGCAATCCTCCTGTCTTGGCCTCCCAAAGTGCTAGGATTACAGGCATGAGCCACCTCACTCAGCTGAGCTAGCATTTCTGAATCTTGGGTCTATGATGGAAGCGGAAGGCGGCACTCCAGACCCCAGCAGGTCCCAGTGGCCTGCAAGAGCGCTGCATACCTGCAAAAATAGCACCTGTGGCCAAAGCTAATTGGATATGAATCTTAATGAAAACAGCACTTCAGCCAGCATAAGAACTATGCCACTGCGCCTCAAACTTTAACGTGTGCGTAAATTTCCTGTGGAGTCTTGCTAAAATGAAGATTCTGAATCCTTAGGTCTAGACTGGACCCAGGATTCTGCCTTTTCACAGCCTCCCAGGCGAGGCTGGCGTTGCAGCTCCTTGCTCCATGCTCTGAGTTGCAAGGTCTACTCTACACGATGCCAAAAGCAATCTTGTGGTTCAGTCATGTGAGTGAAGAAAAAAGATTAGGTAAAATGATTATTTTGTATCATGCAGACAAAAAAATCATTTTTCAGCTAGATTCTCTGCTATTTCATACACATGGCCAGAGCTGACAGAGATTGCCAGTGGACTACTGGAGATTAAAGGTGGTAATGAGTGAGGACCCTCTTGACCGCTTGTGTCTGTAAGGATGGTGAGTGCTGAACAGCCTCCAGCCTCCAGCTCCAAGCCCAGCACTAGCTTGACCAAAAGTGACCAGGGGTTTAACAGCCGGCTTCCTGAACTCTACTGGTCTACCAGCCACCTGCACCCCTCTCCCACTCCCCCTAACAAACTCAAAACCCAATAAAACAAAAACCAAACGGATGTGTATTGGGAATCAAATGTGGCAGGAAGGGCCCTGGCAGAGGCAGTACTCCGAGGTGAGGAAGCCATGATTGGGTCAGCCTTAAACATTCCTACCATTCTGCCAGTGTCCAGGCTGCTGATGAAATCCTGGGCAGGTGCAATGATGCACAGGTGTCCTGGGGTGAGGTTGCATGTGTGTTAGGTTGGGTTGAAGACTGAGGAACAGAAGGGGCGGGTCAAATGGTTGTGTGAGAGCGTTGGCAGGCTGTGTTGACTGAGACCCGCAGTGAGAGGTAAGTTTTTGTGGTTTACAAATTTTAATTTCAATTTTTTTTGAGATAGGGTCTCTCTTAGTCACCTAGGCTGGAGTGCAATGGGGCAATCACCGCTCACTGCAGCCTTAATCTCCCAGGCTCAAGTGATCCTCCCACCTCAGCCTCCCAAGTAGCTGGGATTATAGGTGCGCAATATCATGCCTGGCTAATTAAAAAATTTCTTTTTGTAGAGACGAGGTCTCATTATGTTGCCCAGGCTGGTCTCAAATCCCTAGGCTCAAGCGATTCTCCTGCCTCAGCCTCCCAAAGTGTTGGGATTCTAGGTGTGAGCCACCACGCCTGGCCGAGGGGGTGTTTGACATCTTCACTCAGCACACACATTTACAGGGTTGATATCCATTTGTACAAAACAATACTTAGTTTTACTGCATGTGACATATTCTAATTAAAAAAAAAAAATTCTAGGCCAGGCCTGATGGCTCACACCTGTAATCCCAGCACTTTGGGAGGCCGAGGCGGGTGGATCACCTGAGGTCAGGAGTTCGAGACCAGCCTGGCCACATGGTGAAACCCTGTCTCTACAAAAATACAAAAATTAGCTGGGCGTGGTTGTAGGCACCTGTGATCCCAGCTACTCGGGAGACTGAGGCAGGAGAATCGCTTGAACCCAGGAGGCGGAGGTTGCATTGAACCAAGATCGCACCACTCCAGCCTGGGTGACAGAGCAAGACTCTGTCTCAAAAAAGAAAAAAAAAAATCTAAAATGCTGGTTCTGATCTATTAAATTGATTTCAGGTCCCACGACTGGGCTGTGACCCAAAGTGTGACAAATGCAAATTTTGGAGGCCTTTTCTCATATTGGTAATATATGAGTCTTTGATCTCTTACTGTGGGAACTCAGGTGACCTCAAATCTAAGAAACCTAATTTACGAAATATACACTTAAAATTATGATTTCTTCAAATTCTACCCTGGAAACGCTTAGTGAAGGGATTTTTGCCATCTATTTCTTTGGTAAATCTCAGAGCATCTAAAAAAAAGATTAAGTGGACAAATGAGTAAATTAGCCTATCTACAAATATGTAAGTCCTTGGATGGAAGTTTTTAGGACAAATAAATTTAAAGAAAAGCATTAGATGTTATTGGTAGGTATAGTCCAAGTAGATATGAATAAGAAAATAGTTTTGAAATTAAAATTTATAGTATTATTGGTAGGTGTAGTCCATGATATTTCTGAAATTTAATTTTATAGCAACAGGAAAACATGAATGATTTACAAACAACTTTTGAATATATCAACAATGGAAGTGATAAAAACATTAATATTTACTGAGTCATTATATGATATGCTGTATTGAACATTTTATTTATTTATTTATTTATTTATTTATTTATTTATTTGGGATAGAGTCTTGCTCTGTTGCCCAGGCTGGAGTGTAGTGGCGCGATCTCGGCTCACTGCAAGCTCCACCTCCCGGGTTCACGCCATTCTCCTGCCTCAGCCTCCCCAGTAGCTGGGACTACAGGCGCCTGCCACCATGCCCGGTTAATTTTTTGTATTTTTAGTAGAGACGGGGTTTCACCGTGTTAGCCAGGATGGTCTCAATCTCCTGACCTCATGATCCGCCTGCCTCGGCCTCCCAAGATGCTGGGATTACAGGTGTAAGCCACCACGCCTGACTGAACATTTTGCTTTTAATTTAAGTTTTTTTTTTTTTTTTTTTGAGACAGGGTCTTACTGTCACCCATTCTAAAGTGCAGTGACCTGATCAAGGCTAACTGCAACCTCAACCTCCCGGGCTCCAGCAATCCTCCCACCTCAGCCTCCCATGTAGCTGGGATTACAGGCGCAGGCCACCATGCCCGGCTAATTTTTGTATTTTTTGGTAGAGACAGGGTTTCACTATGTTGCTCAGGCTGGTCTCGAACTCCTGACCTCAGGTCAACTCTGTGGGCATGGGGGACAGTTCTGAGAGCCATGGGCAGGGCAGATCCCTCCAAAAGTGCCCACAAGACTGCAGAACACTTTGTTCAAATAAAATCTTAACCTAAACGCGAAACATGAAAGAAGAATGAATGAATTGTTCTGGTAAACTGAGATGGGGGCCAAAGTCCATCCAGTTAGCTCCTCCCCTCCCCTGGGGTCTGAGGAGCTGTGGTTTTGAAAACCATGGATCTGGTTGAGCGTGGTGGCTCGTGCCTGCAATCCCAGTGCTTTGGGAGGCTGAGGTGGGTAGATCACCTGAGGTCAGGAGCTCGAGATCAGCCTGGCCAACATGGTGAAACCCCGAATCTACTAAAAATACAAAAAATTAGCCAGGTGTGATGGCAGGTGCCTGTAATCCCAGCTACTCTGGAGGCTGAGGCAGGAGAACCGCTTGAACCTAGGAGGCAGAGGTTGCAGTGAGCCAAGACCACGTCACTGCCCTCCAGCCTTGGTGACAGAGTGAGACTCCATCTCAAAAAAATACAAAAAACAAAAAACAAAAAAAGAAAACCATGGATCTGGCCAGATGCAGTGGCTCACGCCTGTAACCTCAGCACTCTGGGAGGCCAAGGAGGGTGGATCTGAGGTCAGGATTTCAGGACCAGCCTGGCCAATATGGTGAAACCTGTCTCTACTAAAAATACAAAAATTAGCCGGGAATGGCGGCGTGTGCCTGTAGTCCCAGCTACTCGGGAGGCTGAGGCAGGAGAATCACTTGAACCCAGGAGGCAGAAGTTGCAGTGAGAGAGATTACGCCACTGCACTCCAGCCTGGAAGACAGTGAGACTCTGTCTCAAAAAAAAAGAAAACTATGGATCTCGTTCTAAGCCTCTGTTTTTACACCTGATAAACATGAGGCTGAGAGAGTGAGGCTACCTCCTCAGAGGTGCACAGTGACTTAATGTCAGCGCTTGGACCCACCCTAGGGTCCTGGGCTCCTTGTAGAATGTTCTCCCTCCTCCTTGTCCACCTCCTCCTCATTTGCGGTTATCCAGACACACAACTGCTGAGAAAGTCTTTTGTTTCCTTCTTTATTTATTTTGAGGCAGAGTCTCGCTCTGTCACCCAGGCTGGAGTGCAGTGGCGTGATCTCAGCTCACTGCAGCCTCCACCTCCCAAGTTCAAGCCATTCTCCTGCCTCAGTCTCCCCAGTCGCTGGGATTACAGGTGTGCACCACCACCCTGGCTAATTTTTATATTTATTTATTTATTTATTTGAGATGGAGTCTTGCTCTGTCGCCCAGGCTGGAGTGCAGTGGCGTGATCTCAGCTCACTGCAACCTCTGCCTCCTGGGTTCAAGTGATTCTCCTGCCTCAGCCTCCCGAATAGCTGGGACTACAGGTATGCGCCACCAAGCCCAGCTAATTTTTGTATTTTTAGTAGAGACAGGGTTTTACCATATTGGCCAGGCTGGTCTCGAATTCCTGACTGTATGATCCACCCACCTCGGCCTCTCAAAGTGCTGGGATTACAGGCGTGAGCCAGCGTGCCCAGCCTTGTATTTCTTAGGTGAATAGATTTTGATTTGCAGAATTCAAAAAGGAATGCGAGTGAAGTAGGTGAAACAATAAATTTAGCTTGGAGGATCCTATGAGCCTTCCCCCTGGTGTGCTGGTCACAGCTGGTTTTGCCCAGCGCCCTTTTGTCCTCTTTGTCCTCTGCTCTCCTTTGAACATCAATCAACAAGGGCCTGATGGCATTGACAGGCTTGCCCTGGTGACTGACCACGTCTCAGGTTGAAAATGTGCTTTGGCGCCTTTTACAGGACGATGGCATTTGTCCCAGTGTGTTCCAGTGAAGCGCCTCGCAGGACCTTGATAAACTTGACTGTCCGTATCCATCAAGGTGCTTGTGCATTATTCCTACAACTGGGGAGATACCTTACCCACCTCCTTGCAGATCGTTCTAGGGAAAGGTGTTTGGCCATCTGTCTGGGAGGCTGAAGACTGGCCCTTGCCACAGGCAGGGTGCTGAGAGCTGCCCCTCTGCCCAGCCTCGTGCTCCTCTGCTGAGGGGTCAGCTCAGGTTGTCTGGAGGCACTGCCCTGCGCCTGCTCCTCGAGCCGCTTGATGGCACTGTTAGAACTGGAGAAGGGAGGCAGCTTCTCCTGAAACAGTTTCCTCTGTTCTGATCGGCTCCAAACTGTCATTTCCACCCACCTCCTTCCTAACTGAACAGAACAAAATCACTTCACAGCCTGTTGCTGCTGCTCTGCTCCCCCAGCCCCGCCCCGCCATCTGGGCAAAGATTTAGTAGCCCCTGTGCCCTCTTTCCCGCACTCATGCACCCAGGCTTCCATCCTGTCTCTCTAGAGCTTTATCATCCTGTGTGTTTTGGGGGCCTCTGCGGTGCCAGGGGCTTTGCAGGCAGAGAGAAGGCCAGGAAAACCTTATAAGAACCCGGGAATCTAAAAGAGAAAGCAGAAGTGCCTGACATCCTTCTGGCCACATGACTTGTTTTCTAGAAGAAAGAAGAAAATAGCAGTGGGAGAAGGTGCTTGGGAGGAATGGAAGGAATGTGCAGAGAGGGCAGGAAATGGGGTCTCTCGGGCGGAATCTTGGCATTAGGTTGCAAGGCTTAATGTGTTCTGTTCTTGGCTTCCCAGCTGCCACTGTGTCTAAATCCCTCTCGCAGGGTCAAGGGTGGGTGGAGGCGTGGTCTGAAGGGACGCTTGCCTTCTTCTACTTGCTTTAGCCTCTTCTGGTTCTCAGTTCTGTCTCTCTCTCTCTCTGTAGCTCTGTCACCCAGGCTGGAGTGCAGCAGTGCCATCATAACTCATTGCAACCTTAAACTCCTGGGCTTAAGCAGTCCTCCTGCCAGGAGTTTACTACTGGTACATGCCATTACACCCGGCTAATATTTAGTTTTTTCGGAGGGATGGGGTCTCACTAGATTGCCCAGGCTGGTAACTTCTGGGTTGAAGCCAGATCCTCTCACCTCAATCTCCCAAAGTGCTGGGATTACAGGCATGAGCCACCACACCTGGCCTCTCTTTCTTTTTTTTTTGCAGTGGGGGGTGGGGGTGGCTGGTGGGGAGGAGGACAGAGTCTCACTCTGTAACCCAGGCTGGAGTGCAGTGGCACGATCTCGGCTCACTGCAACCTCCGCCTCCCGAGTTCAAGCCATTCTCCTGCCTCAGCCTCCTGAGTAGCTGGGATTACGGACACGTATCACCATGCCCAGCTAATTTTTTTATTTTTAGTAGAGAAGGGGTTTCACCATGTTGGCCAGGCTGGTCTCGAATTCCTGACCTCAGGTGATCCACCTGCCTTGGCCTCCCAAGGTGCTGGGATTACAGGCATGAGCCACTGCGCTTGGCCCTCTCTTTTTTATTTATTTATTTATTTTTGAAACGGAGTCTCACTCTGTTGCCCAGGCTGGAGTGCAGTGGCATGATCTCAGCTCACTGGAACCTCCGCCTTCCGGGTTCAAGTGATTCTCCTGCCTCAGCCTCCTTGTTGTATTTTTAGTAGAGAAGGAGTTCCACCATGTTGTCCAGGCTGGTCTCAAATTCCTGACCTCAGGTGATCCACCTGCCTCGGCCTCCCAAAGTGCTGGGATTTTGGGCGTGAGCCACTGCGCCTGGCCCTCTCTTTTTTTATTTTTATTTTTAAATGGAGTCTTGCTCTGTTGCCCAGGCTGGAGTGCAGTGGCGTGATCTTGGCTCACTGGAACCTCTGCCTCCTGGGTTCAAGTGATTCCCCTGCCTCAGCCTCCTGAGTAGCTGGGACTACAGGCATGCATCATCACGCCCAGCTAATTGTTGTATTTTTAGTAGAGAAGGGGTTTGGTCTTGAATTCCTGATCTCAGGTGATCCACCTGCCTCAGTCTCCCAAAGTGCTGGGATTACAGGCATGAGTTTTTTTTTTTTTTTTTTTTTTGACACAGAGTCTGTCTCTGTCACCCAGGCTGGAGTGCAGTGGTGCTATCTCGGCTCACTGCAACCTCCACCTCCTGGGTTCAAGCAATTCACCTGCCTCAGCCTCCCGAGTAGCTGGGATTACAGGCGTGCGCCACCATGCCCAGCTAATTTTTGTATTTTAGTAGAGATGGGGTTTTACCATGTTGGCCAGGCTGGTCTCCAACTCCTGACCTCAAGCAGTCCATCCACCTTGGCCTCCCAAAGTGCTGGGATTACAGGCATGAGCTACTGCGCCCAGCCCCTTTTTTTTTTTTTTCAAAATTTATTGTGTATACTTAAGGTATACAATGTGATGTTATGAGGTACATGTACATATAGTAAAACAGTTACCAGAGTGGAGCAAATGAACATAGCCGTCATCTCTCATAGGTACGTATTTTTCCCCTGTGGTAAGAGCAGCTACAATCAACTATAATCTACTCATTTAGCAAAGATGTTGGATACAGTACACTGTTAACTAAGTGTGTCTTCATATTGTACATCAGATCTTTCCACTTGTTCATCCTGCATAGTTGCTGCTTTGTGTCCTTCCGCATTCACCTCCCCATTTCCTCTGCCTCACCCCCAATACTGGTAACAACTGTCTTATTCTCCATCTCTGTGTATTTGGCTTTTTTTAAAAAAAAGATTCCACCTGTAAGCAAGGCTGTGCAGTATTTGTCTTTCTGTGTCTGGCTTATTTCACTCAGCATAATACCCTTCCTATCCTCCCTCCATGTTCATTCTTGTTGTGGATCTCCTTTTTTTTTTTTTTTGAGACAGAGACTTGCTCTGTCACCCAGGCTGGAGTGCAATGGCACAATCTTGGGTCACTGCAACCTCTGCCTCCTGGGTTCAAGAGATTCTTGTACCTCAGCCTCCCGAGTAGCTGGGATTATAGGCATGCGCCACCACGCCTGGCTATTTTTTGTATTTTTAGTAGAAATGGGGTTTCACCATGTTGCCCAGGATGGTCTTGAACTCCTGGCCTCAAGCGATCTGCCTGCCTAGACCTCCCAAACTGCTGGGATTGCAGGTGTGAGCCACCACACCCACTCTTCCTTGCTTTCCTTGCCTGCTTGCCTGCCTTCCTCTTCCTTCCTTCCTTCTTTCCTTCCCTTTCTTTCTTTCTTTCTTCTTTCCTTCCTTCCTTCCCTCCCTCCCTCCTTTTTCTTTCTTTTCTTTCTTTCTCTCTCTCTCTCTCTCTCTCCCTCTCCCTCTCCCTCTCTCTCTCTCTCTCTCTCTCTCTCTCTTTCTTTCTTTTTTTCGCTCTTGTTGCCCAGGCTAGAGTACAATGGTGCCATCTCGGCTCACTGCAACTTCCGCCTCCCGGGTTCAAGCGATTCTCCTGCCTCAGCCTTCCTGAGTAGCTGGAATTACAGGCATGCACCACCATGTCTGGCTAATTTTGTATTTTTAGTAGAGACAGGGTTTCTCCATATTGGTCAGGCTGGTCTCGAACTCCCAACCTCAGGTGATCCGCCCACCTCGGCCTCCCAAAGTGCTGGGATTACAGGCATAAGCCACCGCACCCAGCCTCTTTCTTTCTTTCTTTTCTTTCTTTCTTTTTCTTTCTTTCTTTCTTTCTTCTTTCTTTCTCTTTTTCTCTCTCTTTCTTTTCCTGCCTGCCTGCCTCCCTTCCCTTCTCTTTCCTTCCTTTCTCTCTTTCTTCATTCTTTCTTTCCCCATTCCTGTTGAGTGCACACATTTTCTTTACTCATTTGTCCATAATGGACATCTAGGTTGCTTCCCTATCTTGCCTGTTGTGAACACGGGAGTGCAGCTACCTCTCCTAGGTGGTGATTTTCTCTCTTTTGGGTATATAACCAAAAGGAAGATTGCTGGATCATGTGGTAGTTCTATTTTTAATTTATTTAGGTGGTTCCCAGTTCTTGCTGCCACTTCCTTTTCCTTGGAGAGATGAGTAGGAGACAGGCTGAGGATACCCATGAGCTGTTTAAGAAGAGAGCCCCGCTGCCCACAGCTTGCATCCTAAATCTCAGGCCCCACAGCTCTATGCCCTACTTACCTCCCCTGGCTCCCCTTCCTCCAGAGGAAGGAGAAAATGGGAGGGCTTTGCTATGAGAAAAGCATTTTCCCCAAACAATTACCAGGAAATACTGTCTCGATTGCTATTCCTGACATGTGCTGCCCTCTTGGCAGAGTTACTGGAAGGCTTATTACACCTTGCAAATGCTGATGGGGCACAGTTCCCAGAGTTGGAAAGGCTCACCCAGCGCAGGCCGCCAAGGCCTCTTGGTTTCCTCCCACAGGTGCCAGGTGTGTGCTCCACACCCCTCTGTTGGCCAACCTTGACCTTGAGCAGAGGCCCCGGCCAGCTCTCCCAGCCTGCTTGCAGGTGGGAGGCCATTCTCTGCTGACTCAGGCCCAGACTGGGGCAGGTGCATGCCTTCAACCCCGTGAGTAATACCGGCTTCTCATCTTCAAAGGGCCTTCCCAAGATTAACCAATTAGTCACCCCCAGGAGAGCTACAAAGCAGGTTATTATTGTCTTTATTAAGCCCATGGTGGAGGAGGGAAGTAAGTGGAGTCCCTATCCCAGGTCAGTGAGAAAACTGGCAGATGAGTGTGTGGATTTGGGCACAGGAGATGACAGCCACTCGGATTTCTCAGGGTGTTGGGGTGGGGGACGAACCAAAGGCAGGTAAAGTAGAGGCTGGAGCTTCTCACTGGTCGGGGTGGGAGAGACCACAGGGAGTATGTGGGGAAGGACTGAGAGGCTTAGGCTGATGGAAAAGGGCATCTTACTGAAACCAGAGCCAGTGGATGAAGAGACAGTTTGGCCTCAACTGACCCACAGAGGCCTCTGCCCTATGTTCTAAAGGATTCAGAAAACCGCTGATTGTGCTTGAGTCACTCTGCCTCTCTGAGACACCCAGATATTTGTGAAATGAGCCTTGGAACACTTTCCTTTTTGTATCTGTTTGAGGACTTTGATGGACTAAAAATGATCACAACACACGTCATTCAAGCACGTTTCAAATAAAAAGTGTACTATGAAAGCTTAGAAGGGAAGAGGTGGACATTGTTCTGGTTCACTCTGAGCCACAGGTGTGTCTCCTTCAGGTGCACGATGCAGAAAGTTAGAGGGTTTTAAAAGGTAAATCCAAGTCCTGGTGACAGAGTGAGAACCGATGCACCTTCTGGAAGCCAGACAGCAGAGTGAGCCTTCAGTCAGTCCTGTCTGCAGCTGCTTTTTATAAACTTGGCATAAATATGTGCTTGGGAACACCAGGACAGTGTGTCTGGAATATATTTCTACCATTAGAAAACACACACATACATCACACATAACACACATGCACATAACACACATACATACAACACACACATACACGCACACATAGCACACACAAACACAACAAACACAACATGCATGAACACACACAACACACATACACACAACACACACATACACATATGACACACATATGCACATACTCATACACACATAACACACAAGCACACACATAACATACACATACACACATAGCACACACATAACATACATACACACCACACGTAACAGACATGCACATAACGCACACCATACACACACACATAACACACAAACACAACACACACAACACATATGCACACACACAACACACACATACAACACACACAACACACATACTCATACACACATAACACATATGCACACACATAACATATAACATGCAACCATAGCACATACATAACCTACACACACATACACACAACACACACATACACATATAACACACATACACACATACTCATACACATAACACACAAGCACACACATAACATACACATACACGCATAGCACACAACACATTCCTACACACATACACACATACACATATGCACATACACATAACACACACATATACACATGCACACATGCTCAGAAACAACAGAAATCATGCATGGTACTGAGTGGCTTCACTTGTGTTTTTTCCTGTTTTGCTGCCAATTTTAGAAGGCCGTAAGTCATAGTTGTTGTTAAACTTTGTCAGTTAAAATGTAACACTAAGAACAAAGTCATCTGAGCTGCTGTAGTCAGATGGCTTTTAGAGAGAATTCATGGTGGAAGGCGCGCTTTCTCGTGCTCCGTGACAGCTGCTAAGTCGCGTGCCGTGGGTCTCGGGCATTTTCTGGTGTGTGTTACACACGGTGCCCACAGGGTAGTCCTGACTCTTCTGGGCCCTGGGCTCAGCATTTATGCCGCAGCTCCAGAGGGCCGCTTACCAGAGGAAAGGAGATGTGATGAGTCAAACTGTCCCCATGTACTCGGTGTGACCCAGGAACCAAGTGTGGTCTCCTTAGGGGTGATGTGTTACAAGTTCCCCACTTCTGTTTCTCCTAGAAATGACTGCATCCACTTTCTCATAAACCTTGACCCAGCAGAATTCAGAAATTAAGAGGCCCAAAGGGAGTGCCTGGCTTGGTTTGAGGCTGGAACAGCACAACTTCCTCACCCGGACTTGGGAGAATGGAAAAGCCAGGAATGGCAAGCAGCCTTTGTGCCTGGAGACCTCTAAGCTGTACTGTTTGGTTTGCTGTGAGACTGGAAGCCTTTCGAGGGCAGGGCTCTGTGTTTTTCCTGAGGAGTTCTAGTGCTAAGACAAGGCCAGGAACACAATGAGCCAACAGGCCTTTACAAATGCTTGTGCCTTAAAACACATGGAAGACAAGACCCCAGCAGGCCTGCTGGGAGCACAGCCTTCAGTTTGGTGAGGTGGTGGGAGGGTCCTTCCTCTTTCCAGCCCTCCTTTTCTGCCTGCTCTTCCATCTGCTCTTCTTCCTCATCTCATTACCCACTCTAGTGAAGCTTGGGGGCTTTGAGGGGAGCAGGGGGAGCCAGGGTGGGAAAAGGGAGGCTTTCTCAGTGACCAGGTCCCCACACTTTGAGGCTGGGTGTAATCTTTGTGGGGTAAAACTAGAATTTGGACCATTGCTCTGAAAACTAGAGCATTGCTTCCATCTGTGATCTGATCAGGGAATTATGGGCAGGGCTGACAGATCTGATGCCAAGCTCTGCCCTTGCTGTTCGAGCTACTTTCAGGATAAAGCACTGCTGTCTCTGTCTTTGATTCTCCATTTGTCGGAAGGGCACTCGTACCCCATCTGCTGCATGTGGGGGGACACTCCCTATGCATACCGTCCAGTGCCTCGATAGGAAGTGGAAAGGCCTATTCACTGCCCAGGTACCAGGCCCTCCAGGCCCCAGTGTTTTGTGAATTTGGAAGGGTTTGTGGCACTGGTTTTGAAGTGGGTCATGTTATGTTTCTGCTGGCATGCTCGGCGTTGCCATGTTTCTCTTTTTGGGCCTTCTTTCTTCCTTTAGAACAAGAGGGTTTTGTTGTCGTTGTTTTTGTTGTCGTTGTTGTTTTAGATGGAGTCTCGATCTGTTGCCCAGGCTGGAGAGCGGTTGCGTGGTCTCGGCTCACTGCAAACTCCGCCTCTCGGGTTCAAGTGATTCTTCTGCCTCAGCCTCCCAAGTAGCTGGGATTACAGGTGCTCGCCACTGTGCATATATATATATATATATGTATATATTTTTAGTAGAGATGGAGTTTTGCCATGTTGGCCAGGCTGGTCTCGAACTCCTGATCTCAAGTAATCCACCTGCCTCGGCCTCCCAAAGTGCTGGGATTACAGGTGTGAGCCACCATGCCTGGCTTTTTTTTTTTAATCTCTTCAATAAATACATATTTCAAAGCTACTGTGCTCACGGCACTGTGCCCAGTCTGCGTACTTTGGTGAGCAAGACAAGCCCCGTCTTCATGGAGTTTTCATTCTAGTGGGGAGTGACAGACATAGGCCAACTCACCCTGCAAATAACTTTCACTTCCAGTGATGACTCCAGCAATGAAGGAATGGTGCAGATTGCTAAGGTGTCCAGCAGGGAAGCCGACTTAGTCTGTGGGAGTGGGTAGAGGGCCCCTGGGATTGCCACCTCACCTCTCGGGGCCTTACCTGTGAAATAGGCTCACCACCATTTGCTTCATAGGGCGACCACGAGTAACGGGTAAAATAATGCACTTTGACTCATGCTGGCTACCCTCATGATTCCTTCCTAATAAAATCTCCAGTGACTAGTCTCTCATATCTACTGTTTCTCTTCTCTTTTGAATAATGTGATTTCACAATTCAACCTTGCCCGGACAAACAGGAAAACCCATTCCAAATTCCAACCTGGCTTTAGAAACATTTTCTTGGAGGGTGGTGGGAAGTGGGATGGGGGTTTGGGAAGGGATGCTCTCCCAGCTCCTTCCTTGCTGTCTCGTTGCCAACTCCAGTTCCCCGGCTTGTGAAGAGTGCGCGTGGGGGGACACGCTCTGATCCTCATACTCCGGGTGCCGCCCACCTGAGACCGCTCTGTCCTCTGGCCACAGCTTCCCAATACTCTGTCTACAGGGAAATATTTTAAAGACTCAGGAAGTGAACTCATTTAAAAAAATGTCCTCCCCCTACTTTTCCAAAACAGTGCAGCCTTCCTGGAAGAAAGCAAACAAAACAAGTGTGACTGTTTAGAAAACGATTGGAAAACCCATTCTGAACAGTATGAGTTTGCATGGCTCTCCTGGGCGGATGTGTCACCCTCGGCTGGGCTTACTCTGGCGTCTGTGTGGAGAGGAGGCAGGGCTGCCCACGCAGTCTTCTCAGAAGAGGCAGCTGATGGCTGAGTGGGGCCTGGGGACCAGTTCCCCTCAAACAACCGCGGGCACCTCACCCTTGCAGACCTCAAACACACAGACAGACACGGATGTGAGTCCACATATGTGTGTGAGGCTGCGTCCAGCTGAAATTAGTACAATGACCTAATCGCCGCCAAGGCGCGGACAACTGCTCTGCGTGTGGTGACTATTTTGGGTTTCTAGGTGTTCGCATGTGATTTGTGGCATTCGCAGTGTTGTTATTAATAACACCGTTGGCTGTGTGGAGGCTGAGGATGAAGCCTTTTCAATTCAGCCATCTGGTCAGAATGCTTCTCCTTTGATGAGGGAAAAAACCTTTGCTGTGTTTCAACTGGAACGCTGCCTCCCAATTAAGGTGACAGCAGATCGCCGAGTCGCCCTGTCTTTGCAGGAAGAGCCAGCCAGGCTCTAAATGCCACTCTGTCCGGGAGGGAGAACGCCTTTCCTATTGATTGTGGTTTGGTATGCAGTTCAGGCACTGGCTCGAAGGGACGCTGGGCCAGGAAAGCCAGCGTGCAGTGTTTACTGGGTTGGCTGCCTTGGCGCTCAGGTTTTCCATTGTCAGGCAGTGACAGTGCTGCTCAGACGCTCTCAGGAGACGTTCCCCTGCTTTCATAACAACGAAGGGCTTTTTTGTTTTCTGACTCATCTTCAGAAGATCTCCCCCACTTCGTTTGAAAGTAAATATAATTAGTAACAGGCAGACATACTGTATATAGCCAGCCCTGCCTATGCAAGAGAGTTATAATTAAACATGCATGCTGTCTGCTGTTCACTGTCTGCTAAAGGCCTTGCTGAAGTCACCTGCAGGGAGAGGGGTTTATCTTGAAGCAGCAGCCTGGGGTGAATGCTGCAGAGAGAGAGAGAGGCCTGTCCCACCTTTGAGTCGAATGTCCAGTCTGAAGCTTAGATTGAGCTGTTGACTAAAGGGGAGGTGTGTCCATCGGCCCTTGGCCTGCCTTCGCCTGGGTTCTTCTCCATTCTCCACCTTGGGCAGCCCTGGGTGACCCTGTGTGGTCAAGGTTGGGGCTGGCCCCTCTTGGAGACAGAGTGATGGTGGCCAAGTATGGTTGTCATAGTAACGAGGTGGCTGCTGCCACTGCTGTCGGCTCAGGAGGCACCTGCCTGCTTGCAGGTTACGATCTGCCCTCCCGAGGCTGGGGAGCCAAGACTACTTGCCTTTGTTCCCAGCTCCCTGCCTGCGATGCTGGCAGCAAAATCTCAGCCCCGCCCGGCAGGGCAGGAGCTCAGGTATGTTATCCCCAGGTGACCCTCGGCCCTTCTTCTTGGCTAAGGGTAGGCTGGGTGTTTGGAGGCCACTGTCCAGGCCCATAGAGAGCTCAGATTCTGCTGAAACCAGTGGCTCAGGCAGCCCCAGGAACACACACACAGCTTGTGGGAAGATTCTGGGACCACGGCACGGCCAATGGCAGGAACACACACACACCTTGTGGGTAGATTCTGGGACCACGGCACGGCCAACGGGCTTTGTGACACAGGCTTGGAGACACAGGAGAAGCTGCTGTGCCTCCTGCTCCTCCGGGGGGTGCGGCGGTGACCGGATGACTAGTTGGCACAGTCCTTCCTTGGCCTGGATCAAATGCAACAGGCGTCATCTGAGCCCCGGGCACCTTTCCCCAAGTTGCTCAAAGTGTTTTCCGAGCAAATAGTTGTTTCATAACACCCGTGAGAAGTAGGTGGGGTGACAAAGCATTCTTTGTCCCTGTCTTGCAGATGGGGGAATTGAAAAGCTTGCCGGTCCTGGTGGTGAGGCCAAGAAAGGGAGAAGGTGCTCTCCTGCCCAGGGCTCTGGGTGTGGAGCACCGGGGCCAACTCGTGCCCCGTCACCAACTCCTGTGGAAATTGGTGCAGCTCCAGCAGAGAAGGAGGCCAAAAGTGGAAGAGGCCCAGGGCTTCTCCCTTAGCACTGGAGGCCTCAGATGCAATGGCAGGAGCTCGGCCGTGGGCCCCACTGTCTGAGGTGTTGAAACTGGCCATTGGCAACTCGAGAGGTGTTGGTGCTCTCCTGCTCAGCTTGCTTGAAGTTACTGGACTCTTGGAGGGGGTCAACAGATGCTTTTTAAGCACCCTGTTCTGGCCCAGGAATTGTTCCATTCCAGTGGTAAATGAGGGGGATGTGGCCCCGCCTTTATGGTGTTCATAGGAGACATAGGAGACAGTCAATACATAAAATTAAGAAGAAATCATTTCAGAGAGTGACATGCTATAAGGACACTAAAAATGCATAATGGGACAGAGATTGGCTAGAGGGGAGGGTAGGAGAGGAGGAACAACTTTTTTATTTTATTTTATTTTATTTTATTTTATTTTATTTTATTTTATTTTATTTTATTTTATTTTATTTTTGAGATGGAGTCTCACTCTGTTGCCCAGGCTGGAGTGCAGTGGCATGATTTCGGCTCACTGCAACCTCTACCTCCCAGGTTCAGCAATTCTCCTGCCTCAGCCTCTTGAGTAGCTGGGATTATAGGCGCCCACCACCATGCCTGGCTAATGTATTTTTAGTAGAGACGGGGTTTCACCATGTTGCTCAGGCAGGTCTTGGACTCCTCACCTCAGGTGATCCACCCCCCTTGGTCTCCCAAAGTGTTAGGATTACAGGTGTGAACCACTGCTCCTGGCTATTTTATTTTTTGAGACAGGGTCTCACTCTGTCTCCTAGGCTGGAGTGCAGTGGTGTGATCATAGCTCACTGCAGCCTCAGACTCCTGGGCTCAAGTGATCCTCCTGGCTCAACTTCCTGAATAGCTGGGACTACAGGTGTGCACCACCATGCCTGGCTAATTTTTAAAAATATTTTTGTAGAGATGGGGTTTTGCTGTGTTGCCCAAGCTGGGAACTCCTGGGCTCAAAGGATCCTCCCACCTGAGCCTCCCAAAGTGCTGGGATTACAGATATGAACCACTGTGCCTGGCTGAGCAAAAATTTTAGATAGGGAATCAGAGAAGGTGTCTGCACGAGCAGCTCCGCAAAGGGCAGAAGGACCCAGACCAGAGGACCAGCATTCCAGCGGGAGGAAACAACTGCGGAAAAGCCCTGAGAGGGGAATGAGGGTGGCCTGTCCAAAGCTTGGGGGAGGACGCTGCTCTTGGATGGTAGCAAGAGAGGATGTGAGGGTGGTGAGCAGGGGTGTGGTCCTGTAGGGAGGACCTTGTGGGTTGTGGGGCCGTGTGTGATTCTGGATGCTAGGGGAGGTGATACATAATTCAGGATTTCTTGGGAAGATGGTGCCCACTGTTTTTGTTTTTGTTTTTTTAAGACAGAGTCTCACTCTGTCACCCAGGCTGGAGTGCAGTAGCACGATCTCAGCTCACGGCAACCTCCGCCTCTTGGGTTCAAGCGATTCTCCTGCCTCAGCCTCCCGAGTAGCTGGGATTACAGGCATCTGAGTCCACTGTTGAACCCACCTACTGTATCTCATTGCAGGCTCAAATAATAGCCATTAATGCAATGTAGGTTCCAATCCCAAGTCTCCAAGCAATGATTTTGGGGCAGAGGTTGTACTATACATACACCTATAGATATTTCTTGGCATCTTATTACAATGCTTTGCAATGTGGCATGGGGTTTGTTTCTCAGATTTTACACAGGAAGTTTAGTTACTGATATATAGGTTGAGCATTCCAAACCAAAAACCCGAAATCCTCCAGAAATTGAAACTTTTTGAGCATCAGCCTGATGTTCAGAGGAAATGTTCATTGGAGCATTACGGATTTTGGATTTTTGGATTTGGGATGCTCAACTGATAAGCATATTATGCAAATATTCCAAAATCCAAAAAAATGCAAACTCCAAAACACTGTGATTCCCAAGCTGTTTATTATTTTTTGAGATGGAGTCTTGCACCGTTACCCAGGCTGGAGTGCAGTGGTGTGATCTCGACTCACTGCAACCGCCATCTCCTGGGTTCAAGTGATTCTTGTGCCTCAACCACCTGAGTAGCTGGGATTACAGATATGCGCCACTACGCCCGGCTAATTTTTGTATTTTTAGTAGAGACAGGGTTTTGCCCTGTTGCCCAGGCTGGTCTTGAACTCCTGGCCCCAAGTGATCCTCCTGCCTGGGCCTCCCAAATTGCTGGGATTACAGGCATGAGCCACTGTGCCTAGCCCCCTAGGTATTTAAATGAGAAGCATATTCAACCTGTACTAGAAACATTGTGTTATGTCTTTCCATGTCCCAGAAATGGATTCAGGGACATCATTTCTATTCCTCATAGAAATGAGCCATCTTTAGGTGTCTGGGCTTGGTGACTTATGCCTGTGATCCCAGCACTTTGGAAGGTTGAGGCAGGAGGATCCCTTGAGCCCAGCCATTTGAGACCAGCCTGGGCAGCACAGTAAGACCCCATCTCTACAAAAGATAAAATTATATCACTTCTCAGCCTTTTAGCTAAGATCAAGTACAAAAAATAAAATTATTAGCCAGGTGTGGTGGTATGCACCTGCAGTCCCAGCTCCTCAGGAGGCTGAGGTGGGAGGATCACCTGAGCCCAGGAGGTTGAGGCTTCAGTGAACCGTGATTGTGCCACTGCACTCCAGCCTGGGTGACAGAGCAAGACCCTGTCTCAAGAAACAAACAAACAAACAAACAAACAAACAAAAAACTCCTTGGGTAATGACCCAGCGGTCACCCATTGTGACCAGTTTTTCCATGGGACTGAACCACTGTCATTTGTCTGGTGCTTTATAACAGCTTACAAAATACTTCTGCAGCCACTTTCTCATTTGCTTTTCCCCAGTGCTCGTAGCGTTATTGGCGATGTATAGATGCAGAAGCTAAGAGAGGTTAAGTCATTTGCCCAAAGTTACGGAGCAAGGGGAGACCTGGACCTAAGCTCCAGTCCTTGGCCTTTGCTCTCAGACTTTCCCAAGTCCCTGCTGTGGGGCCTTTGGTGGCAGCGGGCCAAGGCAGTTCCGGGCACCTGGGCTGACTGTGTGACTGTGAGTTTGGTAAGCCGAGCCTGGCAGGTGTTTGCAATTCCCTGAGCTGGCTCCTGGGAATGCATTCTGTGCCATGCAGGGCCGTGTTGCAACGTGACTAATGGATGAGAAGGTTGAGGAGGAAAGCCATTACTTCACCAATGTGAATCAAGGTCATTCGTCACCTCGGGAAGCACACGGAGCTGCGACGTTCAGGAGGGAGGCACGCTGCTCCCAAGCCAAACCACGATGCAGCCTGGCACCAGTCCCATGCAGCAGGGAGAAGGGGAGTTTCTGGAAGCGAGGATGAGCTGGGCAGCCAGGCCCAGGGCCCTGGCCGTGCATGCATCAGCCCCTCCTGAGAAAAAGAGCTCAAGGACTACATGGGGTCTTACCCACGAGTGGGGCAACGGTGCAGTTTCCAGGAGGCGTTGGCAGGAGCTGACCGGCCACTGACGCTGGCCGGGGTCCCTAGGGGACAGGGACTGGAGGGTCAGCGGCCTCTGACCATCCAGCGTCATCTGAGGAAATCAGGCCAATCGTGAGCCACCAGAGTGTCCTCACCGAGACGGCCTCTCTCCCTAGTATAACAAGCCACATTTGCTGCCTTTCTGGGAGAGTTAGAAGCAAGCCACGTGGGTGACTTCTTTTCAAAGTTCTCTGCCTCAGAGGAGGAAGCCCCATGGGTGGAGGCCAGGCCCGAGGCCATCCTGCTCTGGGCCAGAGCGTGCCTGTGTCTGATGAGCGAGGACATGCCTCGTCTGGCTGAGCCTTCCATTTCACACCGGCAGCTCGAACCCCCCATCACGGCTTCCTTTTGGGCTCCCCTCCTCAGGGGACCGAGCTTGAAATGTGCTTGCCCTTCATCCCTAAGGCCTGCGTCCCTTCCTCAGAGAGGACTAAGCCCCTCTCCCAGTCTTGATGTTCTCCGAGGCCCTTCTTATTCACAGAACCTATCTGGCTTATTTATTCGCTTGCTTGCTTCTGATGTCTTCTCTTACTGAAAGGTAAGTTATGTGGGAGATGGAATCATGCCAGCTTTGGTTCACCATTACATCCTCCACACTTTTCTATTCTGATTTATTTATTTATTTTAGAGTCAGAGTCTTGCTCTGTCGCTCAGGCTGGAGTGCAGTGGCACAATCATAGCTCACTGCAGCCTCAAACTTCTGGACTTAAGTGATCCTCCTGCTTCAGCCTCCTGAGTAACTAAGACTACAGGTGTGCATCACCATGCTTGGCTAATTTAAAAAAATTGTTTTAATACAACAATTAGCTGGACGTGGTAGTGTGAACCTGCAGTGCCAGCCACTGTGGAGGCTGAGGTGGGAGGATCACTTGAGCCCAGGAGATTGAGTCTGCAATGAGCTGAGATCGTACCACTGCATTCCAGCCTGGCAACAGAGTAAGACCCTGTCTCAATTTTTTTTTTTGTAGACGTGGGGTCTCACTATATTGCCCAGGTTGGTCTTGAACTCCTGGACTCAAGGGATTCCTCTGCCTCAGCCTCTAGTGTCACTGGGATTACAGGTGTGAGCCACTGGACCTCGCTCCCCTGAAAAGTTTTTGTGGAGCCTGGCACCAGGGGAACCCAATATCTATCCTTTGAATGAATGAATAAATGCAAGGAAATAAATGAAGAGGAGGCGGGGGTCAGGAGGGGCATGTTTTATATGAGTAGATACCATGCAAAGGTCCTCCTGGGTGCCATCGCCAGTGCGGGGCAGCCTGCGAGCCCCTTGAGGGAGGTCTCCCTGACACACTGCCCACTCCTCCTGGGGCCGAGCAGGAGTCACATCCAAGGGCTGGGTCATTATCTGATAAATGAGTGGGTTGTGCGGATGAGTAAACAGGGACTGACCCAGAGGTCAGGTGTAACTCAGCCTCAGAAACTGCGTGTGTCAATAGGAATCGAAGGGCCAAGGAATGTGTTTTTCGTTGATGTCAACTTGCTGCAAAGGACCACACCTGCTTCTCGACCCAGGAACGTGGGAAAGGGAAAGGCTTGGCTTGTTTTGGTGGAGATGGAGATGCTGGTAACAGTGGAGGAATGCCCTCCTTCTGATTCACAGTGGGGAGGTGCTCTGGGCCCCTGCCACTGCCCGAGGACTTCAGGTAAGTCAGCCCGTGGCCCCCAGCCCTTCCCTGCCAGACGCCCTGGCAGACGGCTTGTTCTGACAAGTATGCGCTTTCTGGATGGAACAGCCTCCCTTTTGTCCAAACCCTTCCTTTGAATTTAAAATGCACAAAGAACCTTTCGAAGAGGAAAAGAATGGGATCAGGAAGAGGAGGCTGTATCTCATTTGGACACTCAAGCCCTCAGCTCCTGCCCAAGAGTTTCTGGAATTTGCTCCCACATCACGTCATGACTTTTGGCTCCCAGCCAGGTGCGGTGGCATCTGTGGCTTCATCCTTCTGGGAAGTCAGGGTCATGTTCCCTTGAGTCTTCTCCCTTTCCTCTCCCCAGCTTTTGGTTGTCCTGCTGAGAGGATGCGGCATTTGAGCAGTAGCTTCTGGAGCCCAGAGTGAAGCCCCACCCAGGCACCCTGACAGGACCACAGGAATGCTCCTGGCACAGCAAGCAGGACTCTTGAGAAGCTCAGCCTCCACGCTCCTTGTAGATGTTCAGTTCAAACTCCACAGTTTGTGTGACTCACTGAAGGGCTTGGTTTGGCTCTCGCTGACGAGTCTGTCATCGGTGCCAGGTGACACGCTTTTCCCCTCCTCCCGTCTAGTCCTCTCTCTTGCCCCAGGGCTTCTGGTGGGGAAGTTTAACCTCCTCTTCATAAGCAGTGGGAGGGCTACTGTGCTGCCCTCTGGCCCAAGCTCTGGTATTCCCTTTGCAGTGGTGGGTGCTCTCATTCCTTTGCAATGTGCCCTGCAGTGTGAACCCAGGGGATCCATGAGACAGGGAACTCACGTCTGTTTTCTTCATTTGGTGTAGCATGCCATTGGGCGTTTGCCAGACAGGGCCTATCATGTGGGCCCTACACCTATTCACACACCTGCCATTTGCCTTCAGAATCCTGTTCCCAGTGGGTAATGGGTTTAAAAGCCCATAGCTGAGTTTATCCACATTGGATCCGACCCACATTCCAATGCTCTTGTAAGTCTCCAGTTGGTCAAATGAGCAGTTTGATCCCTTGATCCTTCAAAATACTGGATATATTTATTTCTTCTTGCCTTTTGATCTTTCAAGCTTGAAATTTCTCCGCACATAAAAGTCTTCAAAATGCCCTCAAACTTCTGTCTCCAAAGGCAATTTTTTTTCACTTTTTCATTTTTTTGTAGAGATAGTCTCACTATGTTGCCCAGGCTGGTCTTGAACTCCTGGCCTCAAGTGATCCTTCCCCCTTGGCTTCCCAAAGTGCTGGGATTACAGGTGTGAGCCTCTGTGCCCAGCCACCAAAGGCATTTTTACTTGGCTCTGTACAGTGGAGCTGCTTCTCTATTTGGAGGTTGAAGTTTGTGTCAAGTTCTTGAGTTTGTAAGAATAGGACATGAAAGCAGAGAGCCTTTTAATCAGATGAGCAGCTATCTATGTTATGTTTTCACAGATTTTGATTCTTCTTTTTTTGAGATGGAGTCTTGCTCATCCGCCCAGGCTGGAGTGCAGTGGCGCGATCTTGGCTCACTGCAACCTCCGCCCCCCAAGTTCAAGTGATTCTCCTGCCTCAGTCTCCCAAGTAGCTAGCTGGGACTACATGCGCGTGCCACCACACCTGGCTAATTTTTGTATTTTTGTATATATTAGTAGTAGAAACAGGGTAGGCTGGGCGCTGTGGCTCAAGCCTGTAATCCCAGCACTTTGGGAGGCCGAGGTGGGTGGATCACGAGGTCAGGAGATCGAGACCATCCTGGCCAACATGGTGAAACCCCGGCTCTACTAAAAATACAAAAATTAGCTGGACATGGTGGCATATGTCTATAATCCTAGCTACTCAGGAGGCTGAGGCAGGAGAATCACTTGAACCGGGGAGTCAGAGGTTGTAGTGAGCCGGGATTGCGTCACTGCACTCCAGCCTGGCAACAGAGAGAGACTCCATCTAAAAAAAATAAAAAATAAAAGAAAACAGGGTTTCAGGGTTTCACTATGTTGGCCAGGATATTCTCGATCTCGTGACCTCATGATCCGCCCGTCTCAGCCTCCTAAAGTGCTGGGATTATAGGCGTGAGCCACCGCACCTGGTTGATTTTGATTATTCTAAGTAGGGATAGTCGAAATCTTCATAGTGTTTGACATTTCATGTATTTATCAGCTGAAACTGATTGTTTTCATGGTTTTGAGGAATCTCAGTGAAATAATTCAGTGTTGCCAGATCCAGGGAATCTTTTCTCCCCAAGGCATTTGCTGTATAATCAATAAATGTATGTATCATATGGAAAGGTATGATTAGAGTACACTTAGAATTAGTTTATTTCTCTAAAGATGCTTTTACCTTAGCTGGGCATGGTGGTACGCACCTGTAGTCCCAGCTACTTGGGAAGCTGAGGTGGGAGGATTACTTGAGCCTGGGAATTTGAGGCTGCAGTGAGCTATGATCACACCATTGCATTCCAGCCTGGGCCACAGACCCTGTCTCAAAGAAAAAAAAAAGAGATTTTTATTTTTTTATTTTTTTTCTTTTGAGATGGAGTCTAGCTCTGTCACCCAGGCTGGAGTGCAGTGGTGTGATATGGGCTCGCTGCAACTTCTGCCTCCCAAGTTCAAGCGATTCTTCTGCCTCAGCCTCCTGAGTAGCTGGGATTATAGGCATGCACTACCACCCCCTGCTAATTTTTTTGTATTTTTAGTAGACAACCGGGTTTCACCGTGTTAGCCAGGCTGGCCTCAAACTCCTGACCTCAAGTGATCCACCCGCATCGACCTCACAAAGTGCTTGGATTACAGGTGTGAGCTACTGTGCCAGGCCAGAAAAAATAAAATAAAATAAAATAAAGACGAATTTACCTGGTCATTTAAAAAACAACCTAATGAGCTAGGCAATTTTCATTAAGCTTATTTTCATAGGGAGAACAAAACACAGTTCTCAACTTCTTGTCCCCCTTTGTCCCTACTTCCCTGATTCCCTCCTCTCCTACTTGTCTTTCTCTTCTTCTCTCCAGGAGCTGAGAACAGCCCCCTTCCTATTTGAGGCTGGCCTGTCCATGCGCACCCTTGGCCTCACATCAATGGAGGATCACCCATCCCTTCCTCGTGCTAGAAACCCAATGGCTGTATTCCATAAGCCTGCAGGACTCTTGCTCTTCTCCTTATTTAACTACACCAGCTTAGGAGTAGCCTACATGCTCCATCTTCATTTCCTTACCCCATCTACTCCACAGTCTACCATTCTCTTGCTGAGGTTACTTACCTGGCCTCTTTCCTCTACACTCTTTTCCACACTCACTTGTCCAGGTGCACATTAATACCTACACCTGACTATCCTACAGATAACTCGAATTCAAGATGGTGGGGGAATAAACTCACCATCTTACTCTATATGTCTGCCTGTCCTTCAGTATTTCTCATGTGGGATAAGGGTGCTATGATTCACCCACTTGTCCAAGACAGAACACCTCGATGTCATTCTTTTTTTAAATTTTTAATTTTTTTTTGAGACAGAGTTTCGCTGTTATCACCCAGGCTGGAGTGCAATGGCGCGATCTCAGCTCACTGCAACCTCTGCCTCCCCTTTTCAAGCGATTCTCCTGCCTCAGCCTCCTGAGTAGCTGGGATTACAGGCACCCACCACAATGCCTGGCTAATTTTTTTTGTTTGTTTGTTTGTCTGTTTTTGTTTTCGAGACAGAGTTTTGCTTTTGTTGCCCAGGCTGGAGTGCAATGGCATGATCTCGGCTCACCGCAACCTCTGCCTCCCGGGCTCAAGCGATTCTCCTGCCTCAACCTCCTGAGTAGCTGGGATTACAGGCATGCGCCACCATGCCTGGCTAATTTTGTATTTTTAGTAGAGATGGGATTTCTCCATGTTGATCAGGCTGGTCTCAAACTCCCAATCTCAGGTGATCCACCCGCCTTGGCCTCTGAAAGTGCTGGGATTACAGGTGTGAGCCACCGTGCCCAGCCAATTTTTTGTCTTTTTAATAGAGAGGGGGTTTCACCACATTGGCCAGGCTGGTCTCAAACTCCTGACCTCAGGTGATCCACCCTCCTCGGCCTCCCAAAATGCTGGGACTGCAGGTGTGAGCCACCGCACCTGGCCTGGATGTCATTCTTGACTCCACTTTGCTGCCTTATTCTATCACTGAGTTCCACCTGCATGGTTCCCTTGGCCAGGGATAACGCCGTTTTTCACCCTCCTGACAGCTCCCATTCTTCCTGCAAAATCCTCACCTGATGTCACTATGGCTGCAAAGCTTCCCCAGCTTCCTCCCTAAGAGAGACGCCGTGGCACTTTTTTTTTTTTTTGAGACAGAGTCTCGCTCTGTCACCCAGGCTGGAGTGCAGTGGTGTGATCTTGGCTCACTGCAACCTCCGCCTCCTGGGTTCAAGTGATTCTCCTGCCTCAGCCTCCTGAGTAGCTGGGACTACAGGTGCACGGCACCACGCCCGGCTAATTTTTGTATTTTTAGTAGAGACAGGGTTTCACTATGTTGATCAAAATGGTCTCCATCTCCTGACCTCTAGGAGGCAGGCCCGATCCGCCCGCCTCAACCTCCCAAAGTGCTGGGATTACAGGCATGAGCCACTGCGCCCGGCCCAGTTGTACTTTTTTGACATATGTATGTCTTCTCTTATTTTCCCCATTGCTCTATTGCCATTCTTTGTTTTTCTGCTGCTCACTTGCTGGATATAAACATCCTGAGAGCAAGAACTGCTTTGGCACATTTCAGTTTCTAGCACAGTGCATAGCACATAGTAGACCCTCAATACATGTGTGGAAGTGAGCCCTCCAATATTCCAGGTAAGTTACAAAGGGGCCTGGTTATTAGGGCCTCTTCATGGCTAGTGATGGTCAAAGAGAAAAATCGGGCAGGAATCCAAGAAGCACGGTAGCCCTCTTTTCCCCTTTTCTAGGCATCTGGCTGTGCCTGCATTTCCTTTTGTGGCCAAAACATCAGAGCTTGAGGTTCAGCTTTGTCATTTCCTGACACTCTGAAACTCTGACCCTCTGAGTTTCATTTTGCCAAAGGACAAGATCCTAGAGGATAATGCAGTCTCGAGCATTCTGTGACCGTCAGACTCCAGGGCCCTCCTCATGCCCACCCTCTCTCAGCAGCGTGCATGAGTGTGGCATGTGCAAGTGTGTGCAGTGTGCCCTGGGTGTGCACATGCTGTTTGCAAAGGCAGACCAAGGTGTCTAGAATGCCGTTTCAGTTGGCCATGACTAGATGCATCCACAGCGGTGTTTCTTTATTGGGGCGATGGCTGAGAAAGGAAATTGCATTGTTTTGGGGCTGTCTCAGGAAGGACATTTGATACATCCACAAAGTTTAGCCTTCCAAGTGGCCTCCACTTTCAGCCAGTGCATTGGTTGGCAACTCCTGGGTAGGAGTCCAGGTTACTGGGGAAGGGAAGTGGAGGGTCTGTAGGAGGATGGGGGTCCAAGAGAGCTGTAGAGCCAGCAGGCTGCCCTTCTGTGCTGTTCCAGGTGAGAACTGCCATCATCACACACTGGGAGGTTCAGTCATGGCTGTTAGCCGGGGCACAAGCCAACAGATGTATCAGCAACCTGAGATGGCATGGCACCTGGATGTGCAGCCCGGAAGGGGTGTGCATGTGGAGGAAGGGACTCGGGCCCAGCTCGGCTGCGGGCCTCCACAGTACCTGTTGGGGGTGGGGCTGGTCTTGAGTAACCCCTGAATGGACTTTACCCTGAAGCCGGTTTGTGTAACTCCCGTAATTAGCTAACTAGGTTAGTCATTGCTTACGCCCTCCTGAGTCCTCAACCTTTTTTTATTTTTTCAGGACGATCTCTATAAACAGGTCATACAATATGCCACACGTTTTCTGCCAAATTCCTCTGCAGATACTTGACTCCATTTTGCGTATTCAGGTGGCTCCAAGGCAGGCCACCTTCTCTTGCTGAGTGTCCTGACCTAGGGGTGATTTCACCGGTGGCTGCAGCCTTTCCCGCCCAACCTGGTTTTACTTAAGGGATAGACTGTGTTATTTTTTATTTTTTGAGACAGAGTTTCGCTCTGTCACCCAAGCTGGAGTGCAGGGGCATGATCTCGGATCACTGCAACCTCTGCCTCCTGGGTTCAAGTGATTCTCCTGCCTCAGCCTCCTGAGTAGCTGGGACTACAGGCACCCGCCACCATGCCCGGCTAATTTTTGTATTTTTAGTAGAGATGGGGTTTCACCTTATTGGCCAGGCTGGTCTTGAACTTCTGACCTTGTGATCTGCCCACCTCGGCCTCCCAAAGTGCTGGGATTATAGGCGTGAGCGACCGTGCCCAGCCTAGACTGTGTTATTTTGTTCACCCATGTATACCTTTATTCACTCCCTCCTGCCCCAAATGTTATTGAACATCGACTAAGCCAGGCACTCTGCAAACTGTATCAATCTAACTGAGGCTCCATCCCCAACCTGGAGAGCTTGTAAGCTAAGCACTATTAAAGGAGTTCCTGTATGAACCAAATCCTGGAGTCCTCCACACAGTTATTGATGCAGAGTTGCTCAGCATCTTTCATAGAGAAAATGCAGTCACATCCAATCTGTCATCAATAATATGAAATACTTATTTTGCTTATATTCAATATCATCAGAGGATCATTCAGAACAGGTGCTACCTAGATTTAAGACTCTTGGTGCTGTCATTATAATCAAAAGCACCTAACGACAGCCCACACATGCTAATGCAAACATAATAATATTAGTGCTTTTGGTTAAAACACGGCTCAGTGAAAGATTTCTGCAGGCCAGACGTAGTATGCAAGTGAAACTTTATTTTTAAACCCTTTGAGTAGCCCAGTGAAACAAGAATACTGTAATAAAGGTTATGTGCAGAGTGGAAACTTATCCCAGGGGTTTCTCCCACAATACACCTCACCTGGGTAAACATACATTTGCATATCAATGCATGGATTACAGACTTTTCCTTTTCTGAGAAAGAGAAGGTACCCTGTTACACACACAGGAGACCAACAGCCAGGAGCTTTCAAGTCCCATGCAATCTGAGAACAGAGGACTTAGGTCTTCAGAGCCCCAGAGGCCAGTCCTCTATAGCAATCTCTCTCTTCTTTCTCTTAGTGCATGGGGATTCTGTTTTGTAACTCGCCCCGCCTTCAGAGATGGCCTACTCCCATCTGGGAGGCTGTGCTGGCTTCTGCAGGAGCCAGCCAGATTTTGAAATTGCATTTGGAGCCAGTCACTGTAGAAAGGCTGGTTCTTGGAGGGGAAGAAAGGTGGCTTTGATAGTTATTGATGAGCTCACCAGGTAGGAATGGGACCTTTCAAATAGGGCAAATTAAATCCCAGGCCTTGAGCTTGGGGCCTGGGATTTGCTGCTGCTGCATTGCAAAGAGCAGGTGGGCAGGCTCTGGGAGTATCAGATGCACAAAGTACAGGTGAACAGGTAACCAGATTGGTATCTCTGCAGGTGCCCTGAGGCTGGGAAACAGCACTGGCGGGGTGGAGAGGCAGCCTGCAACTCGGTGTCCCTCTTGCCTGAAGCAGCCAACAGGTTAACCCAGGTCTGTTCCTGCAGGACTGACATGCGCTGGTTCCAGCCGATGAAAGCAGATGCAAATCAGTGCAATTTCCTCTGCAGCAATAATTAACCCACGGGAACCTTGCTGGAGCAGGTAGTTTCAGGAGAATGGCACTGAAGATGTTGGAGAGAGATTAGCATTTTTCAGCTCTCATCGCAGTGATTTGCGCTGCATTTTAGTGTGTATTCAGTTCCAACTCATTACCATAAAAAAAAAAACCCTCATACATTAAATTGCTAGGCAGGGGGAATCGACTTTGTTTAGGTAGATAGAGAGCCTGGGATGCTAGTGGACATTGCTGGAGAACTGGCCGTGAAAGTGTGTCCTCAGTTTCCTGATTTGTCATGGGAGGAACTTGGCCTCTCCAACCTCTAGAACCAGTCCAGCTGGCAACCTACTATTCTGTTTCCTTCCTTCCTTCCTTCCTTCCTTCCTTCCTTCCTTCCTTCCTTCCTTTTTATTTGAGATGGAGTCTTGCTCTGTCTCCCAGGCTGGAGTGCAGTGGCGTGATCTCAGCTCACAGCAACCTCCGCCTCCCGGGTTCAAGCAATTCTCCTGCCTCAACCTCCTGAGTAGCTGGGATTACAGGCGCATGCTACCATGCCCGGCTAATTTTTGTATTTTTTTTAGTACAGACGGGGTTTCACCATGTTGGCCAGGCTGGTCTCAAACTCCTGACCTTGTGATCCGCCTGCCTAGGCCTCCCAAAGTGCTGGGATTACAGGCGTGAGCCACTGCCCCAGGCCTGTTTGCTTTTATGAATTGGAGGACTGCCTGGGCCCAGGGAAGCCGCTATTCATCTGCCTAAGCTGTAGCTGTTGGATGACACAGGATCCTCATCTCAAGTTGCTTTGAGGACAAGACCACTTTCTTGGGCCCCTCTGCACGTGGGCAGTCCTTCCATGATGACAGCTGCCCTGTTATGGTGGGATTACTTTGGAGGGTGGATGTGGCCCAGGGAAGTGTGTATTCTCAGTGGGCAGGCCTTCTGTTTTGATCATTTTGTAGCCCAGCATCTAACACAAGGTGCTCGTGACTCAAGACCTTATGTAAAGAGGGAGGGATGAACACAAGGAAGAAAGTTCCCCAGAAATCCTTCCTTACACCTGAACCGATTCCTTCCTATATGTCCTCAGCTTGAGTCATTTTCTGTAGCTCCCTCTTATTTCCATCAGATACTTGGATACATTTTAAATTGTATCCCCCGAATATCAGTGAGAGAAATCACATCCATGATCTACACTGCATTGACCAGGCCATCCAGACAGAGAGCGGGGATGGCTTGTCTCCCAGGGCAGTGGTGCCACGTGCCAGCCTAGAGGTTTCGGTTTACCTGCATGCACCACGGTCCCTTGAGAATCTGTGCCCTTCCCCTCCTGGTAGGGGATGCTTGGAAAGGGTCAATCTGAGGCCCTTGCTTTCATGAAGGGCCTTGAGGCCCACAGCCAGGCTTCTAGAAATCTAGAATTGACCCTGGTTTCCAGAATGACCAGTTTGCATTTCCTTTATCTGCACAAAGAAGCGGATTTCTTGGGGGTCTTCTGGGTGTGAGCGTAGTGAGTGTGAATGCATCAAGGTGCCTAAAAATACAAGGACAGATGCCAAATATAAGCATTTTTACCTTGAAGCTGCCTTGAATTGAGTTTCGCAGGAAAAGTGTATTAAAATAATTCTTAAAAACTTGGAGCTCTTAAATGTTTCTATTTCTGGGGGGTGGGGGATGGGGATAACTGTCTCCACTGCCTGCCTGCCTTCTTTCCTTCTTTCCTTTTTTTCTCTTTCTCCTTTCTTCCTTCCTTCCTCCCTCCCTTCCTTCTCCTTCCTTCCTTTCTTTCCTCTTTCTTTCCTCTTTCTCTCTCTCTTTCTATCTTTCTTTCTTCTTTCTTTCTTTTCTTTCTTTCTCTTTCTTCTTTCTTTCTTTCTCTTTCTCTCTCTCCTTCCTTCCTTCTCTCTCTCTTTCTTTTTTTTATAAAGTATTTTAAAAATCAGCCTGGCCAACATGGTGAAACCCTGTCTCTATTAAAAATACAAAAATTAGCCGGGCATGGTGGCAGGTGCTTGTAATCCCAGCTACTCAGGAGGCTGAGGCAGGAGAATCGCTTGAACCTGGGAGGCGGAGGTTGCAGTGAGCTGAGATTGCGCCACTGCATTCCAGCCTGGGAGACAGAGCGAGACTCCATCCCCCCCCAAAAAAAAAATGTTAAATGCAGTTTCATTAGGAGACCCCTTAGAGCCGGATTGTGAGCACAAATGGAGGTGCTGGTTCCAACATGGAAGGGCAATTCCTGGTTATGAGGGTATCATCCAGACAACCCACAATAAACCGTAATTTTTTCGTACTACTAACAAAAGGCAAAGATAAAATGAAAAAAAAAATCCATGAGAAAGAATGTGGAGTGATCTGAGCATGTGCTTGAGAAGCAGCAGCACACGCTCTGAAAATCAGGACTGCATTTCTGGCTCTGTCTTGTAAGGGTATGTGGCTTTGGGCAAATTACTTGACTTTGTCAAGCCTCAGTTTCCTCATGAGGAGTAAAACCAGGATTATAATAGCATATCCCTCCTAGGCTTGCTGTGAGGAATAACTCAGAATTACATAAAGTGTGTCATAGAATGTCCTGTATGTAGGAAGCACCAAGGCATGGGCGGGAGATGAGATGCCCAGCCCTGAATGATCACAGGACCTCAAGCTGAAGAGGACCTCAGAGGCCATGTAAGCCAGCTTGATGGATAGACCTCAGGGGCCAGGAAGGCTCAGGGTCTGCCAGGGGGCCCAGAGAAAGCTGGCGGAGTTGCTGAAACCAAGCACCATGGCTCCACACTCTCCCCAGGTGGCACGAAGCAAGCCTCGTGTCTTCTCTTCATTACAGTCTGCCTCTTTGTGCAGGAAGATCACCTGTGTTTGAAATGCATTTTGCTAAATAGGCATCATAGAAATTCTGATGCTTTGGTGACTCCTCAAATTCAAGACCACCTCTGTAGCATATGACCCCCTCCAACAATGTAGGAAGACAAAACTGGCAGCTGTGAGACACGGTTTCCATGCCATGATGTGCGAATACAGGACCAATGTCATTTACACAACCCGCTTCTTTTTTTTTTTTTTTTTTAGACGGCGTCTCACTCTGTCACCAGGTTGAAGTGCAGTGGCGTGGTCTTGGCTCACTGCAACCTCTGCCTCCGGCTACACAACCCGCTTCTGACCTTCAGAGCTTGCTGGACTGCTTGCCTTCCTTCTCACTTCCACTGCCACCACCAGCAGCTAGCTTTCTTTTGGGGGCCATTTTTACACAGAAAAGCAAGTGTGTACCCCTTTATGCATATTACTGTGTTGCAAAAAGGACCAGAGTATAGCAAGGCTTTGGGGAGGGGAGGAGTCTGGGTGGTTAGTTAGGTTCACCCTCTAGTTGTGTGGCTTCCGTCTCCTGCCTGATTCCAGCGGGGCCACAGCTGAATGACAGACTCTCACACTTGTAGGTGACTGTCCGCAGAGCTTAGGTTATGCTGCAGTAATAAGCAAGCCCCAAATCTCAGTGGCTTAAAAAAGCAAAGGGTTTTTTTTACTGGTGATGTACATCTAGCGCAGGTCAGCAGGCGGCGCTGGTCATGGCAGGGACCCAGGTGGTTGGAGGTTCCATCTTGACTCATCCTTCCATGATTGCAGGGATGGCACTAAAGGGAAAGTGCTGAATCACACACTGGCTCTTAACACATCCACCTGTGAGTGACACCTATCACTTCTGCCAGCATCTCATGGCCAAGACTTGTCTCACGGCCACACCTTACTTTGAAGGGAACAGGGAAGTAAGTACATGCCTACCACATGCCCAACAAAAGAACAGAAGGGAAGAAGAAGTGGAATATTTGTTCGTTTATTTATTTATTTTTTGAGACAGGGTCTCACTTTGCTGTCCAGGGGCTGGAGTGCAGTGGCTTGATCATAACTAACTGCAGCCTCGAACTCCTGGGCTCAAGTGATCCTCCCATCTCAGCCTCTTGTGTAGCTAGGTCTACAGGTGCACACCGCCATGCCTGACTAATTTTTATACAATATTTTAATAGAGATGGGGTCTTGCTGTGTTGCCCAGCCTGGTCTTAAACTGTTTTTTTAATAGCTAGTCAGGTGTGGTTATTTTGGGAGACAATGTTAAATCAGCTTAACAATAACCTACAACACTTGGACCAACTATGTCTCAAATTTCTGACCTCAAGCAAGCCTCCTGTCTTGGACTCCCAAAGGGCTGGAATTATAGGCCTGAGTCACCACATCTGGCCATATTTATTCTTAAAAAACCCCTAACTCTTTATGAAATTTTAATTGATGCATAATAAAATATGCATATTTAAAGTCTACAGTTTGATAAGCTTGACACACACATATGCCCATGAAACCACCACCCCCACAATCACAATAATGAATATTCCATCACTGCTGGAAGTTTCTTTGGGATCCTTTGCCATCTCCACACCTGTGACATCCGTACTCCTCAATCCCCAGACAAACACTGATCTGCTTTCTGCTGCTGTATAGATTAGTTTGCATTTTCTAGAATTTGATATAAATGGAATCACACAGCATGTTCTCTTTTGGTCTGGCTTCTTTCACTCAGCATAATTATTTTGAGATTCATCCATGTAGAAGAGGAATATTTGTGATATCTACCACAGCAGACTTTTGGATTAATGGACTTTATTCTTTCCAATAAGTTAACTGATGTGGGTTGAATTCTGTCCCCCTCCACTCCCAATTCATATGTTGAAGTCTTAATCCCCTGTACCTAAAAACGTGACCCTGTTTGGAGATGGGATCTTTATTTTTATTTTATTTTATTTTATTTATATATGTATATTTTTGAGACGGAGTCTCACTCTGTCTCCCAGGCTGGAGTGCAGTGGTGTGATCTCAGCTCACGGCAACCTCTGTCTCCTGGGTTCAAGTGATTCTCCTGCCTCAGCCTCCTGAGTAGCTGGGGTTACAGGCGCATGCCACCATGCCTGGCTAATTTTTGTATTTTTAGTAGAGATGGGGTTTTGCCATGTTGGCCAGGCTGGTCTCAAACTCCTGACCTCAAGTGATGCACCCTCCTCGACCTCCCAAAGTGCTGAGATTACAGACGTGAGCCACCGCACCTGGCCTGGAGATGGGGTCTTTAAAGAGGTAACTAAGTTACAATGAGGTCGTGAGGGTAGGTCCTAATCCAACGTGATGGGTGTCCTTATAGGAAGGGGACATTTGGCCACAGGCGGCTGTGAAGGGAGAACTTCATGTGAACGTGTAGACCTGCACGCCGAGGAGGGGCCTGGAACAGATCCATCCTTCACAGCCTCGGAAGGAACCAACCTGCTGGCACCTCGATCTCAAATTCCTGCCTCCAGAACTGGGCGACAAGGCGTTTCTGTTGTTGAAGCCACCCAGGCTGTGGCACTTTGTTATGGCAGCCCTAGTGAAAGAATTCAGTCACTTTTATTTCCAAGGGAAGCCGAGTTAAATGAGCTCCCTCAAGAGATCTTCCTGCAATATTTGGGACGTGTCTGTGTGTGCGTGGACAGGGCCGTCTGCAGGCGGACCAGCATGCGGCGCTGGCAGGCACCTCCTGTGTCACCCTTCAGGCATCCAGGGAAGGAAGCAGATAAAATGAAGCTCTTCATGCCCCAAGTTCCATTTCTTCTTTGGAATGCTCGAAGGCTTCCCAGCTGTTCCGTGTTCAGGCCTGGCTTTCGAGAGGCTTCAGGCCGGAGGGGGGAAGGTGGCTGAAGCTGGTCCTCGGTCTCTTCGAGCCCCTCAAAGAACTCTCTGGGTGCATTAGAAACCATCCTTGTGCTGCTGGCAGCAGTTGCCATGCTGCTGAAGAATGGTGGCAAAGCCCAAATGGAAAAGGAGTCTTCTGTACTCGTGGCTTCCAACCCCAAAGAACAGAAAGCCAGGGCCCTCATTCTCCTCTGAACTGTTATCTGGATGGTTCACCAGGAGCACAGCTCCTGTGTTCCTCGCTCGCTCCCCCTGAAGGCCCTGAAGACCACATGATGTTGCCTGCCACTGTGGGAGTGACACGCTCCCCTGGTCTCAGCCTGGACGGGTCCTGACAGGTTCAGTGAGAGAACAAAGCGTCATTCTGAGGGTGAGGAATTTCACTCAGCAGCAAACATGTGTTGCGTGTCTGCTTTGTCTCAGACACCGTACGATATGCCGTTACATTTACTCCATTTCATCCTTGTGACAATCCTGTGAGATAGGAATTCCCATGTCCACCTAAGAGATGAGGAAACCGAGGCTCAGAGGGACAGGGAACATACAACTGGTGAGGGGCCAAGACGGTTCTAGAACATCCATCTTTTGGCATCAAGGAGAGTACATAGGAATCACCTAGCATGTTACTGGGAGGTCCAGACACTCAAATGTGAATTTGCTTCTCTCTCTAGAGAGCTACCAGATTTAGCAAATAAAAGGGCAAGACGTTTAGTTAAATTGGAATAGAATTTCATGTAAACAATGAATACTTTTTTTTTTTTTGAGACAGAGTCTCACTCTGTTGTCTAGGCTAGAGTTCAATGGCAGGATCAGAGTGCACTGCAGACTCCATCTCTTGGGCTCAAGTTATCCTCCCACCTCAGCCTCCCAAGTAGCTAGAACTACCAGGTGTGCACCACCATGCCCAGCTAATTATTTTATTTCTGTAGAGATGGGGTCTCACTATGTTGCCCAGGCTGGTCTCAAACCCCTGGCTTCAGCAATCCTCCCACGTTGGCCTCCCAAAGTGCTGGGATTATGGGTGTGAGCCACCATGCCTGGCCAACAAATATATATTTTTTGGGTATATGTTCCATGCAATATTTGGGATGTATTTATACAGAAAGGGTATTCATTGTTTATCTGAAGTTCACATTTAACTGGGTGTCTTGTGTTTATCTGGCAGTGCTGCTTCCAGGTGAAGCTTGTAGTTGGTTTAGTGCTGAAGGAGCCTTCATTTGCTGAGGCTGGGACTATATTCAGCTTTACTCATGAACTCTGCGGGCTCTCCAAAACTCTTTCTGAAATCAGCCTCACTATCCACAGTTGAGGTTACCAGGACTGTCAACCTGAGGAGAATCAGCTCTTCCACACTGAGCCCTGAAGATCACATGGCAGAGTGAGCTGGAGCGAGGTACCAGCAGACCTCTTAGGCGGGGCATGCACCCCCCGCAGTGTCCCATGTCCCCACTGTTCCCTGTGGCTATATCCATTCCACTTGACTTACTTTTACTCCTTGTCCAGGTCCTTGTGGCATTGTTCTTTCTTTTTTGAGACAGTCTCACTCTGTCACCCAGGTTGGACTGCAGTGGCACAATCTCGGCTCACTGCAACCTCCGCCTCCTGGGTTCAAGCGATTCTCCTGCCTCAGTCTCCTGAGCAGATGGGATTATAGGCGCCTGCCACCACGCCCGGATAATTTTTGTATTTTTAGTAGATACGGGGTTTCACCATGTTGGCCAGGCTGGTCTCAAACTCCTGACCTCAGGTGATCCACCCACCTCAGTCTCCCAGAGTGTTGGGATTACAGGCGTGAGCCACTGCGCCTGGCTGACATTGAGTTTTCAACTCTTCATCTACACCATATGTCAGAGCATTTCCTTCTTCTTGCAATGACAGCAAAAATACTGAGGCTTCAATTACTTACCCTCCTCTATTTCTGTTTTATTATCTCTCCCTGTCGCCATTTCCATGCACTGATGCCCACGCACAGGTTGTAGGAACCAACTAGTATGTTGCTGGGAGGTCCAGACACTCAAATGTGAACTTGCTTCTCTCCCTAGAGAGCTACCAGATTTAGCAAATAAACAGGCAAGATGCTCAGCTAAATTTGAATTGAATTTCATATAAACAATGAATACTTTTGTTTTCTTGAGATGGCGTTTTGCTCCGTTGTCCAGCTAGAGTGCAGTGGCGAGATGATGGCTCACTACAGCCTCCATCTCTGGGGCTCAAGTTAAGAGCCCTCCCCCATGGCTCAGCCTGCCCTGAGGCCAGTCCTCGTACATGGCACATGGCCGCCTTCAAGACATCTCCAAGAAGCCCTCGCTGAGAAGTCCCCTGGTGCACACACAAAATCACATTGCCATTTAGTTGAATTTCTTCATTGTATAGGTTAAGAAATGGAAAATGTGACTCTCAAGGATTATACACAACTAAAACTGTGTGAAACTGCAATGAGTACCCGGGCAATAGGGAAGTAGGAATTTCTCACCAACCCACGTGCCAGGATCCAGCCTCAACACTTGTGAGGATCCAGCCTCAACGCTCTGCACATCTCCAGTGTGGAACAGCACCATGCGCCTAATGAGTTCTTCTCTGACTGATTGATTGATTGATTACTAAAACACTCAGCGCTCCTGGCAAAGCAGTTCTCACTCTGTTGAACAAATTATCTTTATGCACTGCAGTCTCTTGAGCTTAGATGAAGGCAAGCTCACTGTAATCTTCAGATCATTTAGCAATGTCTTGGAATCACTGGATATGACAAAATATCCAGGCATGTGGAATAGGAAGGGGGAAGAAAAGCAGGACTTGGAGGGACTATGCTAGTGGATTTCAACTCTATATTTTCTAATCTGAACCAGGGGCAGGCAAACTACTGCCTTGTAGGCCAAATCTGGCCAGTGGCCTGTTTTATTACTGATTGATTGATTGACGGGGTCTTGTCTTGCTCTGTCACCCAGGCTGGAGTGCATTGGCTTGATCATTGCTCACTGCAGCCTCGAACTCTTGGACTCAAGCCATCCTCCCACCTCAGCTGCCCAAGTAGCTAGGACTACAGGCGTGCACTGCAACGCCTGGCTAAAAAATATATATATATATATATATATATATAATTATTATTTATTATTTTTTTTTTTTGTAGAAATGGCATCTTGCTGTGTTGCCCAGGCTGGTCTTTAACTCCTGGCCCCAAGCAATCCCTGACTTTATGGCACTTGCTCAGCCTGGTGTGACAGTGTCTGTCTCCTGGAGGCCAGGAGCCCCTGGCATGCAGCCAGCATGCCCCATTTATAATCGTAGCCCAGCACATGGAAGGGACCCAAGAGAATGACAGCAACGTTGGCTTTGCCATTTCAACCCTGAACCTCATTTTACTGTTCTATTCATATTATCTGGGGGACAAAATTTTCCCACATTCCTTTCTGTTGGTGCCACCATCTCTGTGCCTCCATGTGCTGCTGACCTGCCAAGCCCATGGCCAGCTCAGCACTCGGATTTTATTTGGTCTCTCGGTATGGGTTCCTTTATCAGCATTTCAAAAAGCTTTTGTGTTTTATCCATAATTGATTAAAGTTTGTAGCTGTGAATAAAAGATTGATTAAAAGCAACAACAGCAAAACAGCTCTTGTTTTTCTTCACCATCTGCCTTTCCCCAGAAGAGTCTCCCACCTCCAAGCAGACAGTCCTCGACGTGGATCCACACAACCTTACAAGTTTTCCTTAGACCCAAGAAAGGGAGGTGTGGGGAATGATCGTTACTTGCTGATACTTACTGATATTGCAATGCCAGCAATAAGAATACCATCTGGACTTTATCTGTGGTTGGTGTGTTTCATTTTGCATTTTATGTGATGGGTGCTGGGATTTGGACAGGCCAAAGCTCCCACCCTCGCGTTTCTCAGTGTACTGGGAAATGACATCACCTATGACAGGGCACTATGATTAGCAAGGGGAGGGGAGGGGCCAGACCTCAGCCCAGGAGTGGGGCTTGGGGCAGGCCCCTAGGGAGAAGCAGTGGCAGTAGCCAGAGCTGGGCTTGGTGTCCCGCTCAGACAAGTGGTGCAGCCAGCTGCAGGATTCACACTCACGTCCTCTGGTAGTAAGCTCTGCTCTCTGCCGGCCCTGACTTCAGAGCAGTGCTGAAGCCGGGCAGTCCTGAGGCACAGCCATATGTTTACAGCTTCTATTTTTTTATTTTTTTTAAGATGGAGTTTCACTCTTGTCGCCCAGACTGGAGTGCAATGGCATGATCTAGGCTCACTGCAGCCTCCGCCCCCCTGGGTTCAGGCCATTCTCCTGCCTCAGCCTCCTGAGTAGCTGGGATTACAGGTGCATGCCAACACGTCCAGCTAATATATTTTTTTTTTTTTAGAGACGGAGTCTTACTCTGTCGCCCAGGCTGGAGTGCAGTGGCGCGATCTCGGCTCACTGCAAGCTCTACCTCCCAGGTTCACGCCATTCTCCTGCCTCAGCCTCCAGAATAGCTGGGACTACAGGCGCCCGCCACTGTGCCTGGCTAATTTTTTTTTGTATTTTTAGTAGAGACGGGGTTTCACCGTGTTAGCCAGGATGGTCTCGATCTCCTGACCTCGTGATCCGCCCGCCTCGGACTCCCAAAGTGCTGGGATTACAGGCATGAGCCACCGCGCCCAGCCTAATTTTTGTATTTTTACTAGAGACGGAGTTTCGCCACGTTGGCCAGGCTGGTCTCGAATTCCTGACCTCAGGTGATCCACTCGCCTTGGCCTCCTAAAGTGCTAGGATTGCAGGCGTGAGCTACTGTACCTGGCTTTTTTTTTTTTTTTTTTTGAGACAAAGTCTCTCGCTCTGTTGCCCAGGCTGGAATGCAGTGGTGTGATCTCGGCTGACTGCAACACCGTCTCCTGGGTTTAAGCAAATCTCCTGCCTCGGCCTCCCGAGTAGCTGGGATCACAAGCACCCGCCACCACACCTAATTTTTGTACTTTTAGTAGAGACAGGGTTTCACCATGTTGGCCAGTCTGGTCTTGAACTGCTGACCTCAAGTGATCCGCCCGCCTCGGCCTCCCAAAGCGCTGGGATTACAGGCATGAGCCGCTGCACCCAGCCACATATTCACAGCTTCTATTTGAAGGATCTCAAAACCACAGGGAGTGCAGCAGTGCACACCAGCCCTCTCCCCCACCTCCCTTTCCCCACACTCACATTCCTTCCCTTATGCCCCAATCACTGGCTTAGTCAGAAAGACCATTTTAACCTGAGAGTAAACGAAGGAAAGGGATACACAGTCTACTGGCTTCTGTCGCCTCACATTTTAATAGAGGCTTCAAGCAACAATTACCTATGGGATATGTCTGAGAGGCACTACAGAAAGGGGCAGAATTATCTACCAGCTTGATAAATGATACATCTCTCAGGACTTTTGGAGGAGAACCAGCTCCATGCTGCAGGAGCCGTGTGGAGCTGGGCTTTACTGCCAGGGCCTTGTCCTGGATGCTGGAAGGAACCAGAAGATTCAAAGTAGAGTCAGGGTCCTGGCCACCAGTGCAAGGCAGGCCACATGACCATCGACACTGCCACCATTGCCACCAGCCCCAGTGCAGCCCTGGGAAGGAGCTTGTTTTCTCCTCCTGGGGGACTGCTGCTCTGGTAGGAGACCAGAGGCAAGAGGAGTCCATTCCGGGCTGTGGGGTACCTGCCCTGTCTCCCTCACAGAGTGCCGTAAAACAAAGCAGCATCATGCATAAGCCCATGTTTCCAGCAGTTTATCAGAGCCTCAGATGTGTGGTGTAGATCCCATCGCCTTGAGGCTCAGGAGAACCAGCAAGCGTGTAGTGCCCTGGGCGGGGTCCCAGCTGACCATGATCCCCATCTCTGGCATCTTTTTTATGGGTCTCCCCTTGTTTTTTTTTTTTTTTCAGACAGAGTCTCGCTCTTGTCGCCCAGGCTGGAGTGTAGTGGCGCGATCTTGGCTCACTGCAACCTCCGCCTCCTGGGTTCAAGCGATTCTCCTGCCTCAGCCTCCTGAGTAGCTGGAATTATAGGCACCCACCACCACCACGCCCAGCTAATTTTTGTACTTTTAGTAGAGATAGGTTTTGCCATGTTGGCCAAGCTGGTCTTGAACTCCTGATCTCAGGTGATCTGCCTGCCTCGGCCTCCCAAAATGCTGGGATTACAGGCATGAGCCACCGCACCAGGCCTGGTGTTTTTTTTTTTTTTTTTTTTTTTTTGGAGACAGAGTCTCACTCTGTCACCTAAGCCAGAGTGCAATGGCATGATGTCGGCTCACTGCAACCTCCGCTTCCTGGGTTCAAGCGATTCTTGTGTTTCAGCCTCCCAAGTAGCTGGGACTAAAGACATGAGCCACCACGCCCAGCTAATTTTTTTGTATTTTTAGTAGAGGCAGGGTTTTCGTCATGTTGACCAGGCCAGTCTTGAACTCCTGACTTCAGGCGATCCGCCCGCCTTGGCCTCCCAAAGTGCTGGGATTACAGGGGTGAGCCACTGCGCCCGGCTGCCCTTGGTTTTAATGTGGACGCCTTGTGCTTTTTGCTCAGTATTCCTGGCCCCGGTGATCACAGGGGTTGTGAATTATGGATACAGCAGCAACTGTTTTTAATCTCCCATGAAACAAAACCAGTGTGTCTTCTGCCCCGGAGGCCGCGGGTGAGGAAGGGATGGCAGCTGCTGCGATATGGCTGCCTCGGGCTGACGTCAATGCGAGTCATTCCAGGCCAAAGACTCCACTCAGGAAGCTTAAAAGTGATACTGAAAACAGATTTGCATGTTTTCCTTTCACGGGAACTTGGCTCCTCTCAGTTCCACTGAAGATGTTTTCACCAGCCTGTGTGCAACCGGTGTGTGGAACGAGCACAGCTTGCAATGCAATTGGAAGGCGACTTTAGCTTTTGTCCTGTGCTGCCCCTCTGAAGTTTATTCAGCCGGATTCATGTTCCCAGACCCTGGCAGGCTTGGACTTTTCTGCTCCTCTTAGGAAATAGTCTGTCTGATGGTTGCTTTAAATGGAAACAAAACAAAACAAAACAAAACAAACAAAAAAAACCAGTCTCCATTTGGAATTTCAATGTCCAGGCCAAGATATTAGTCAAAACTTCAAACCATTCTTCTTGCTCCAGCTGAGGCTGCTTAGGGCTGGAAGTCTGCATGGGAAAGGGATGAGGCTGGCTTCTGTCCTTTCCTGTGGCTCCTTGTGCCCCTTCTCCCAAGGTTGGAGCTGGGTGAGGGGTTTTAGGGCCCAGGACAGCTCTCACCCGAGTAGGTGCATGGGCAGCTTGCTGTGCATCCTTTGGGTCTGGCTGTGGTTGAAAGCTGCCCTCTCTCCTGCCGGGGCTCCCATGTGGGTCTGCACTTCCTGGAGTCTCTTATTGGTGATCATTTGAGACTCTTTGCTTTGGTCCCTTGGGTTTACCTCGAGCTTTTTGCTGCTAGGGTTTCTGCCCCTCCAGGTGGTCTTATAGGTCAGGCCCCTAGCAGACCTCATGCTGGTTACCTCTCTGTGTGGCTTCAGCTGGTTCTGACCCTCTTGTGTGGCTTGCCCCCGCAAGCTCTGGGAGGGAGGCCAACCCCAACCCACTGCATGCTCCTGGTTCTGGCATCAAAGCAGGCAGGGCCAGACATGGTGGCTCACTCCTGTAAACCCAGCACTTCGGGAAGCTGAGGAGGGAGGATCACTTGAGGCCGAGAGTTCAAGATCAGCAACATAGTGAGACCCCATGTCATTACAAAAATAAATATTATTATTTTTGAGACGGAGTCTCACTCTGTTGCCCAGGCTGGAGTACAGCGGTGCGATCTCAGCTCACTGCAACCTCCACCTCCTGGGTTCAAGCAATCCTCTTACCTCAGCCTCCTGAGTAGCTGGGATTACAGGCATACGCCACCATGCCCAGCTAATTTTTGTACTTTTAGTGGAGATGGGGTTTTGCCATGTTGGCCAGGCTGGTCTTGAACTCCTGACCTCAAGTGATCAGCCTGCCTCTGCCTCCCAAAGTGCTGAGATTACAGCCTTGAGCCACTGTGCCCAGTCCACACACACAAAAATTTATTTAAAAAAACCAGGCAGGACCAGGTGTGGTGGCTCATGCCCAAAATCCCAGCACTTTGGGAGGCTGAGGCTTGTGGATCACCTAAGGTCAGGATTTCGAGACCAGCGTGATCAACATGGTGAAACTCCATCTCTACTAAAATACAATATTAGCTGGGTGTGGTGGCACATGCCTGTAATCCCAACTACTTGGGAGGCTGAGGCAGGAGAATTGCTCGAACCCAGGAGGCTGAGGCAGGAGAATTGCCTGAACCCAGGAGGCAGAGGTTGCAGTGAGCCGAGATTGTGCCATTGCACTCCAGCATGGGCAACAAGAGTGAAACTCTGTCTCATAAATAAATAAATAAATAAATAAAATAATTTAAAAAGCAGGCAGTAGTCATCCTGTACATTAGTTCCCTGTGGTTCTCTAACAAATTACGACAAATTACGATGCTTAACACAGAAATTTATTCTTTCACAGTCCTGGAGGACGGAAGTCTAAAACCACGATCAGGGGGCTGAAATCAAGGTGTGGGCACAGCCCTGCTCCTTCCGCGGCTGTCGAGAGAATCCCCAGCTTGCTGATTCCGGCTCGTGGTGTCTGCCGACAACCTTTGGCCTGTGGCCGCATCACTCAGTCCCCACCTCTGCGTCACATCACCGTCTCCTCTGCATTGGGCAAACCTCCCTTTACCCCTCTCTTGTAGGGAAATGGCTAACTGCATTTAGGGTTCATGTAATCTCATTTAGGGCTAATCCCGGATAATCTCCCCATCCAGAGATCCTTCATTTAATCACATTGGCAAAGACCCTCTTTCCAAATAAGGCCACATTTATAGGCTCCAGGGGTTAGGCCTGACACGGTTGGGGCTTTCATCAGCCTCCTGCAGCCTGACACCCACCGTCTGGATTTCCTGGATGGTAAGGGCTCTGGCCTTCTCTGCCATCAGTGAGAGGGAATCCCAGGGTGAGCTCTCTGAGAAGCTTTGTGGAAACCCACGAATTTGAGGTGAGGGGAGGCCCCCACTTCCCTTCAGGAAGCACAGCTTTCTCCACAGAGACACCCCTCAGGCAATCTTCTCTTCAAAATCATGTCTCTCAACTGGCCCACTCTTTATATTTTTTGGTGGGGATGGTGAGAAGGCTCACAGGTTGTGGATCAGGTTCTAGACTATTTCCCGTCCCATTGAAAGTAGCTTGGAACCCAAAGCATCACTTTGAACACTCTGCTACCTTTGCTGTGGAGTTCATAGTGGTTGATGCTGTCCAGGGCTGTGTGGGCTCTAAGGCTGTGCAAACTGTGAGGGCTGAAATCTGCCTGATGAGCCTGGTGCCCCAGCCACGGGGTGCCTCATTTGTGGGGAGCATGGGCCCCTCTTGTGAGCAGAGGGGCTGCCTGTGGTTCCCTCTGGGCTCTACCCTGGACGCTGATCTCGTCCCCTTCTCACACAGCCCAAGGACCTGCCAGTGGGTGGCTGGTGATGGAGATGCTGCAACGTGACCACGGAATGCTAGTGATGAATGATGCAAACTCACTTCATCCTCTGGATTTTCAGCGTGCAACTGCTGTGCTGATATAGCAATCTCCTACTCTGTGGGTTAGTAGATCGTCATTCAATAAGGAGTCAATGCTTGTGTAAACCAAGCAGAGATGGACAAGCTGGTTTAGAAAGAAAATGTACTTCTCATCTTGCAAAATGTGGCCCAGCTTTTAGAGGGGGATAAAAAACAGATTTGTTTGGAAGGTTCCGGAATGTTCAGATAATAAATCCTTTTATCTACTTCTTCCACCTTAGCAGCGAAGACAAGTGGCCTGTCTGTTGACTGCCAAAATAGGGAATGAAAAATCAGAAGACCTGGCTACATTCTAAAGATGTGGGCGTGCTGGTTCACAGGAAACCCATTTGTTCACAGGGTTACCTGTGAAAACTGCAGTTCATAGAAGAAACTGACAAATATCAGTAAAGATATCATTCAAAATGACAAAGTCATCACAGGCCGAGATTGTTTAGGGATCTACCAGCATGGCTTGATTATTTTTTTCTTTACTAAAACAGTTCCATCCCCCGTTTTGCCACTCCCAAACCCGCACCAATGACTTGAAAGAAAATTTGTGTCTTCTCGTACTCACTCCCAACTCATCTTATTTTTGATTCTTGGGTCCATAATGTCACTGGCTCAGATGAGTGAGCCTAAGTCTCTCTTACATGGATAGTCCTGGGGGGAACTGGGGAAGATTTGGGACAGCCTTGGGGGCCAAGCTTTCTCTAGGATTATCAGCCTGAAGACTGTTCCCTGCAAGGGTTGCTGTAACAAAGTACCACAGACTAGGGGGCTTAAATAACAGAAACTGAGTCTCTCCTATTCCTGGGGACTGGAAGTCCAAGATCAAGGTGTCAGCAGGATCAGCTCCCCCTGCAGCCTCTCTCCTTGGCTTGCGGATGGTCCTGTTCTCCCTGTGTCCTCATGTGGTTGTCCCCTGTGTGTGTCTGTGTCTTTTTTTTTTTTTTTTTTTTTGAGACAGAGTCTCGCTCTGTCTCCCAGGCTGGAGTGCAGTGGTGTGATCTCTGCTCACTGCAACCTCCGTCTCCTGGGTTCAAGCGATTCTCCTGCCTCAGCCTCCTGAGTAGCTGGGATTACAGGTGCCCGCCACCACGCCCAGCTAATTTTTGTATTTTTAGTAGAGACGGGGTTTCGCCATGTTGGCCAGGGTGGTCTCGAACTACTGACCTCGTGATTTGCCTGCCTTGGCTTCCCAAAGTGCTGGGATTACAGGCGTGAGACACTGCGACTGGCTGTCTGTGTCATAATTTCCTTTTCTTATGTCAGTCAAATTGTATTAGGACCCACAGTAATGACCTCACTAAATCTTAACTACTCACTAAATCTTAAAACTACCCTTTTAAAGACCCTGTTTCCAAATATACTCACATTGTTAAGTACTGGGGGTAAGGACTTCAACGTATGAATTTTTTGGAGCGGGGAGCATAGTTTAACCCCTAACAACAGGTCCCAGGCACTTTTTTTTTTTGAAACCGAGTTTCACTCTTTTTGCCCAGGGTGGAGTGCAATGGCGCTATCTCAGCTCACTGCAGCCTCTGTCTCCCGGGTTCAAGTGATTCTCCTGCCTCAGAGTAGCTGGGATTACGGGTGTGCACCACCATGCCTGGCTAATTTTGTATTTTTAGCAGAGATGGGGTTTCACCATGTTGGCCAGGGTGGTCTCGAACTCCTGACCTCAGGTGATCTGCTTGCCTCGGCCTCCCAAAGTGTTGGGATTACAGGTGTGAGCCACTGTGCCTGGCCCCCAGGCACTTTACATGCATGATTTCAAGTAATCCTCCCAGTGATACCATAATGTAGATACTACTGTCCCCTTCTACATATATAATGAAAACAAGTCCCCCAAAGAATTGGCAACCTGGCCAACACCACACAGTTAGTAAATGGCAGAGACATGAGTCAAACCAGGTCTGTGTGCCCCAAGTCTGTGTGTGCTCTTCCGATTGCACTGTGCTGTCTGCTGTGGTGGTGGCTGCATGGTGTGAGATGTGGGAAGTAAGGAGGAGAAGGTGTTATATTATAAGTTGGCACTAAAAATAAAGCACTGGGGGTCACATGCCCATGCATAGCCAGCCCGGGACTTTCCTTCCCAGTCTCCTCTCCAATGCCCTATCGTATCCCCTTTCCCCTAGGTTGGCCCTTGTATTCACATCTAATCTCATTGTAGCTATTGGCAGCACCTGGAGAGGTTCCCTCTTCCTAGAAAGGAGGGGCCTCTGCAGGAATGGTGGGTGTAGAGAAGCAAAGAAGGATGCTCATGGCCATGGAGAGTCCGGTCCCTAACTCAGGCCTGGTGTGGGAAACAACCTGGCGGCTGGAGGACAGTCAAAAGAAAGAAGCCCATGGAAGACCAAGACCTCAGTGAGTGGGAAAAAATGACCACACCCACCTCCTCTCCTGGAATCCAGCCCCAGCCTGGACCAGGGCAGCTGAGTTCATACCACGGTCTCCCAGGTGTCAGGAGCTGTATTGTCCTCCTGCCCCCGGAATTCATAAGTTGAGGCCCTAACGCCTAGCACCTCAGAATGTGTATTTGGAGATAGGATCTTAAAGAGGGAATGAAATTAAAATGAGTCCATGAGGGTACACCCTAATTCAACATGACTGGTGTCTATCTCAGAAGACCAGATTAGAACAGCCACACGCAGAGGGAAGATCAAGTGAAGACTCAGAACGGAGGCGGCCATCTGCAAGCCAATGAGAAAGTCCTCGGAAGGAGGCATCCCTGCAGTCACCTTGGTCTCAGAATCCCAGCCTCCAGAAATGTGTAGATTAAGCCTCGCAGTCTGTGGCACCTGGTATACAAGCTGGTTTCTTCCTTTCTCAAAGTGCTGGGATTACAGGCGTGAGCCACCACACCCAGCCACAACTGACTTGTATCCTGATTTTGTGTTCAGAAATCTTGTTATACTCTTATTAACTCTAATAAGTTAATAATATATGTATATTATTTAGGGGAATTCCTTTGTAGACTTATGTCACCTGTAATATTAACGGGTTGTCTCTTCCTAAACCTCCTGTTATTTCTTCTTCTTGCCTTATTCCATTGTCTGACATCCTGTGAGACCTTTAGCATAATGTTGAAAGGAGTGGGGTTATCAGGCATCCTCATCTTGTTGAAGGCTCAGAGGGAAAGCCTTCAACATTTCAGTTTCTGATGTTTGCTATAGGCTTATTATTATTATTATTATTTTGTAGATCTCCTTTATCAGGTTAAGGAAAATATTTTTCTATTCCTAGTTTACTAATTTTTTTTTTTCTAATCATGAATGGATATTGAATCCTAGGAAACATCTTTCCTACATCTATAGGGATAACCAAGATTTCTTTCTTCTTTAATTTTTTAAAGGAGAAAAATTTGTTTTTTTAGTTAATTTGTTTTTTTAAAGTTAAAGCAGGCTGGCTGTGGTGGCTCACGCCTGAATTCCTAGCACTTTGGGAGGCTGAGGCTGGTGGATCATTTGAGGTCAGGAGTTCAAAACCAGCCTGGCCAACATGGTGAAACCCTGTCTCTACTAAAACTATTAAAAAAATTAGCCAGGCATGGTGGCAGGCACCTGTAATTCTAGCTACTTGGGAGGGTAACGCAGGAGAATTGCTTGAACCCGGGAGGTGGAGGTTTCAGTGAGCTGAGATTGTGCCACTCCACTCCAGCCTGGGCAACAAGAGTGAAACTCCATCTGAAAAAAAAAAAAAAAAAAAAAAAAAAAAAAACAGAACAAAAGTTAAAGCAAACTTGCATTTTAAAATGTAACCTGTCTTGGTTATTCCATATTAGCTTTTTTATACACTGCTAGATTTAACTTGATAATTTTTAAAAAAGAATTTTCAGTCTAAATTTATGAGCAAGTTTGGCCTGCAATTTGGAGATCTTCCCTTGCCCTTCCAGATGTGCTTGCTCCTCTTACTCCACCTTGCCCACTGCCCAGCAGGGCTGGCCCATGTGAATTTCTTCACTGAGGTCCTGTACCCTCTGGTTGACAGCTGGATCAGGCCAGTGGGGAACCCTGGCAGGAGACTGGAGGAAGGGAGGATACTGTGTTCATTTCAGGCTGGTTATATTTTTTGAGACATGAGTTGCTGGCTCTAACCACTCTCTCTTCTTCTGAGGTCTGGTAAGCTTCCTCTTCCCTGGTTCCTATCTCAAGAACAAGATCTCTTGTTGTTCCCCTTCAACCACACATTGTAAATAAATCTTCTCCAAATTATCCTATTTCATTACAATTTTTTATGTTGTTTTTTTAGAGACAGGGATCTCACTATGTTGACCAGGCTGGTCTCAAACTCCTGGCCCCAGTAATCCTCCTGCCTTGGCCTCCTGAGTAACTGAGATTACAGGTGCAAGCCACTGTGCCTGACTTAAATTATCCTACTTCCATGTATTATTTCTGTTGGTATGGTCACTGATGAAGCTTATAACTTCCCTTTCTTATAATATTATTGTTGGGTTTCACAATCAAGACTATGATAGTTTCATAAAAGGGGTTGGAGACTGCTTCTTCTCTATGTATACTCTGGAATAGTATGTGTTTCTTGGTAGAACGGGTTAAAACTTTGGTAGGATTTGTTGGCTCTTTAGTGTTGCATCTTGGCCTTTATTTATTTATTTATTTATTTATTTATTTATTTATTTATTGAGACAGAGTCTGGCTCTGTCACCCAGGCTGGAGTGCAGTGGTGCAATCTCGGCTCGCTGCAACCTCCCCCTCCTGGGTTCAAGTGATTCTCCTGCCTCAGCCTCCCAAATAGCTGGGACTACAGGCATGTGCCACCATGCCCAGCTAATTTTGTAATTTTAGTAGAGATGGGGTTTCTCCATGTTGACCATGCTGGTCTCGAACTCCCGACCTCAGGTGATCCGTCTGCCTCAGCCTCCTAAAGTGCTGGGATTACAGGCGTGAGCCACCAGGCCTGGCACATCTGGGGCTTTAGTGTTGCATCTAAAAAGTCATCACCAAATCCAAGGTCATCTACGTTTTCTCCTACGTTATCTTCTAGGAATTTTATAGTTGTGCATTTGTGCACTTTACATGTAGGCCTATGATTCATTTTGATTTTTTTTTTTTTTTTTTCGAGACAGAGTCTCACTCTGTCACCCAGGCTGGGCTGCAGTGGTGAGATCTCGGCTCACTGCAACCTCCACTTCCTGGGTTCAAGCAATTCTCCTGTCTCAGCCTCCTGAGTAGCTGGGACTGTAGGCACACGCTACCAAGCCCAGCTAATTTTTTTGTAGTTTTAGTGGAGACAGGATTTTGCCATGTTGGCCAGGCTGGTCTCGAACTCCTGACCTCAAGTGATCCACCTTCCTCGGCCTCCCATAGTGCTGGGATGAGCCATCTTGCCTGACTGTATTATTTCTTTTCTTCTGTTTACTTCAGAATTAATTTGCTATTTTTTCTAGTTTTCTAAAAAGGAAGCTTAGATTATTGATTTTAGATCTTTCTTCTTTTCTAATATATGTATTCAAGGCTATAAATCTTCCTCTATGCACTGCTTTTGCTGCATCCCACAAAATTTGATAACTCACACTTTCATCTTCATTTAGTTCAAAATATTTTTATTTCTCTTGAGATTATTTTATTGAATTTTAATTTTTTAAAGTGATAAAATTGTGTGTATTATTGTGTGTAACATGATGTTTTGAAATATATATTTTGAAATATATATATTATATATATATTTCAATATATTATATTTCTAGGTATATTCCACTATATACATACAGTAGAATGGCTAAATTGAGCTAATTAACATACATATGACCTCACAAAATTATCATTTTTTTGGTGAGAACACTTACAATCTACTTCACATTTTCAAGAATTTGATACATTGTTATTAACTACAGTCACTAGGTTGTACAACAGGTCTCTTGAATTTATTTCTCCTGCCTAACTGAAATTTTGTATCTTTTAACCAACTTCCTCCCCCTACCCCCATATCTCTTGAGATTTCTTCTTTGAGCCGTGTGTTATGTAAAAGTGCAGTATTTAATCTCCAAGTATTTCGAACACTTCCAGCTTTCTTTCCATGACTGGTTTTTAGTTAAATTCCATTTTAGTCTGAGAGCAGACGTTTTATAACTTTTGTTTTTAAAAAATTGTTAAGGTGTGTTTTATGGCCCAGGATGGGATCTATCTTGGTGAATGTTCCATGTGAGCCTGAGAAGAATGTGTATTGTGTTGTTGCTGGAATGAAGTAGTTGATCGATGTCAATTACAGCCAGATGACGGATGGTGTTATTGAATTCCACTATTCCCTTATGATTTTCTGCCTGCTGAGTTTGTCCATTTCCGATAGGAGGTGTTGAAACCTCCAACTATAATAGTAGATTTATCTATTTCTCTCTGCAGTTCTGTCAGTCTTTGTCTCGTATATTTTGATGCTGTTGTTAGGTGCATACACATTAAGAATTATTATGTTTTCTTGGAGAACTGACCCCTTTATCATCATGCAATGCTTCTCTTTATCCCTGATAACTTTCCTTGCTCTGAAATCTGCTCTGCCTGACATTAATGTAGCTACCCCTGCTTTCTTTCGATTAGTGTTAGGATGGTATATTTTTCTTCATCCCTTTGTTTAATTGATTTCCTGTAGTTTCAATACAATATACCTAGTATAGTTTGTTTTTTTTTTTTTGTATTTATCCAGGTTGGTGTTCTCTGAGTTTCCTAGATCTGTGGTTTTGTGTCTGACATTAATTTGGGAAATATTCTCAGTAATTACTGCTTCAAATGTTTCTTCTCCTCCTTCTTCTCCTTCCTTTTTTTTTGAGACAGGGTTTCCTCAGCTGCCGAGGCTGGAGTTTGGTGGGGTGGCTGAGCTTGCTGCAACCTCTGCCTTCTGGGATCAAGTGATCCTCCTACCTCAGCCTCCTGAGTAGCTGGGACTACAAGGGCGTGCCACCACACCTGGCTAATTTTTGTATTTTTTGTGGAGATGGGATTTCACCATGTTGGCCAGGCTGGCGTCGAACTCCTGAGCTCAAAAGATACGCCCGCCTCGGCCTCCTGAAGAACTGGGATTATAGGTGTGAGCCACCATGCCCAGCCTCAAGAATGTTTCTTCTGTTTTTTTTTTTTGCTCTCTTTCCTCTCCTTCTGGTATTCCCATTATGTGTCTGTTACATCTTTTGTAGTTGTACAACAGTTCTAGGATAATCTTCTGTTTTTCAGTCTTCTCTCTCTTTGATTTTTCATTTTGGAAGTTTTTGTTGTCAGATCCTCAAGCTCAGACAGTCTCTCCCCAGTTGAGTCCATTGAAGGAATTCTTCATTTCTCTTACAGTATTTTTAGTCTCTAGCATTTCTTTTTGATTTTTTTCCTTAGAATATCTATCTCTGTGCTTACACTGCCTATTTGTTCTTCCATGTTGTCTGTTTTATCCATTAGATTTCTCAACATGTTACTCATAATTATTTAACTGGCCGGGTGCCATGGCTCACACCTGTAATCCCAGCACTTTGGGAGGCTGAGGCAGGCAGATCACCTGAGCTCAGGAGTTCAAGACCAGCCTGGGCAACCAGGTGAAACTACAGGAAATAAAAAATAAATAAATCTTAAAAGAATCCAGAGGGAAAAAACACTTTATGAGGAGCAAAGATAAGAATCATATTTACTTTCTCCTCAGAAACCATGTAAGGAAGAGGAGAATGGAGTGAAATACTTAAAGTGTTGAGAAAAAAAAAAAACCCTAAACACCAGCCCAGAATGTTCTGCCCTGTGAAATTATTCTTCAAAAGCGAAGAAAAAAATAGACTTTTTTTGTTTTTTAGACGGAGTCTTGCTCTGGTGCTCAGCCTGGAGTGCAATGGCATCATATCGGCTCACTGCAACCTCTGCCTCCAGGATTCAAGTGATTCTCTTGTCTCAGCCTCCTGAGTAGCTGGGATTACAGGCATGTGCCACCACGCCTGGCTAATTTTTTGAATTTTTAGCAGAGATGGGGTTTCTCCATGTTGGCCAGGCTTGTCATGAACTCCTGGCCTCAACTGATCCACCGACCTTGGCCTCCCAAAGTGCTGGGATTACAGGCGTGAGCCACCATGCCCAGCCAACATAAAGACTTTCTCAGACAGGGAAAACTTAACCGAATTTGTTGCCAGTAGACCTGCCTTGCAAGAAATGATAAATACTTCAGAAAAAAAGACAATGATATGGATTAGAAAGTTGAATCTACAAAAAAGTAAGAGAATTGGAGAAGGAAAAAGTGAAAGTAAGATAAAAATTTTTATTTTTCTTATTCATAATTGATCTAACAGTTAAAAGTTTGTTTAAAATAATAATGGCTCTGTCTGCTGTCATAATAAAATACCATAGACAGAGGTTTAAACGATAGAATTTATTTTCTCTCAGTTCTGGAGCCTGGAAGTCTGAGATCAAGGTGCCAGTGTGCTCAGGTTCTGGAGAGGGCCCTCAACCTGGCTCTCCTCACTCTGTCCTCACATGGCAGACAAAACAAAAGAAAGCTCTCTGTTGTCTCTTCATATAAGGGTAGCAATACCATTAGACCAGAGCTCTGCCCTCTGGACCTCCTCTAGTCCTAATTACTTGCCAAAGGCCCAATCTCCAAATATTATCACATTGGAGATTAGGGCTTCAACATATGAATTTGGGGGGAACACAAACATTTGGTCCATAACACATATGAATAAATGAAATGAATGAAGACAGTAATACAAGAGATAGGAATGAGAGATTGGTATTATTTTGTTATTATATTTTATTTTTTTGAGACTGAGTCTTGTTCTGTTACTCAGGCTGGAGTGCAGTGGTGAGACCTCTGCTCACTGCAACCTCCACCTCCCAGGTTCAAGTGATTCTACTGCCTCAGCCTCCTGAGTAGCTGGGATTACAGGCACCTGCCACCATGCCCAGCTAATTTTTGTATTTTTAGTAGAGACAGGGTTTCACCATGTTGGTCAGGCTGGTCTTGAACTCCTGACCTCAGGAGATCTGCCAGCCTTGGCCTTCCAAAGTGATGGGATTACAGGCTTGGGCCACCGTGCCCGGCCTATTTTATTATTATAAAGCACTAGCATTACCCATGAAGTGGCATGGTGTTATTTGAAAGAAGACTTGGATTAGCTCTAAATGTACACTGCAAATTCTAGGGCAACCTCTAAAAAAAACTTTAAAAAATGATTATAACTGATATGTTAAGAAAGGAGGAAAAAATGCTCAATTAACCCTATCTCTGCAAAAAAAAAAAAAAAAATTAGCCAGGTGTGGTGGTGCATGCCTGGAGTCCCAGCCACTTGGGAGGCTGAGGTAGAAGGATTGCTTGAGCCAGTGAAGTCGAGGCTGCAGTGAGCCGTGATTGTGCCACTGCACTCCAGCCTGGGCAACACAGCAAGGCCCTATCTTGAAAAAAGAGAAAACTACAAAAGGCAGAAAATGAGTAGGAAACAAAAATAGGAATAAAGAACAAGGGCAATGGAAAGAAAATGGCAACAAATATCATAGATATTGACCCAACTATATCCATAATAACTTTAAGCATCAATGGTCTAAATACCTCAAGTAAAAGACAGAGATTGTCAGAGTGGATCAAAAAACAAGACCCAACTATATGTTGTCTACAAGAAATCCATTTTAAATATAATGATACATATAGGTTAAAAATAAAAGGGGCTGGTGGCAGTGGCTCACACCTGTAATCCCAAAACAATACAAAAATTAGCTGGGCGTGGTGGTATGTGCCTGTCATCCCAATTACTTGGGAGGCTGAGGTGGGAGGATCACTTGAGCTTGGGAAGTGGAGCCTACAGTGAGCCCAGATTGAGCCACTGCCCTCCAGCCTGGGTGACAGAGCCAGACTCGTCTCAAAAAAAAAAAAAATCTTAATTATTTAAAATTTCTGGTCTGATATTTCCACCGTCCCTGTCATCTGAATCTGGTTCTGATGCTTGCTTTGCCTTTCCAAATTGTGTGTGTGTGTGTGTGTGTGTGTGTGTGTGTGTGTGTGTGTGTGTTTTCTTTGCCTTTTACTATGACTTGTACTTTTTCTTGATAGCTGGACACGATGTACTGGCTGGAAGGAATTGTAATATAGTAATCTACCGAGTAGCTGGGATTACAGGCGCCTGCCACCACGCCCGGGAGCCCTTGAGGGCAGGCCTTGTTAAGAAGAACAGAATGCTCCAGCATATTTTAAAATGGTTCCTTTTCCTCCCCACTGCCATGAGTAGGTTTTTTTCTGTCTCAGTGTGAGAACCTGGTCAATCTCAAGGAGGTCAAAGTCATAAAAGTGTGGGTCCTCCTCTATGACTGGGTCCCCTTGGAGTTTTGAACTCTTAGGCTAGTCCACACAGAGCTCCCAGAAATCGGTCGATTGTAGCTTAGATTTCTCTGCTGTGGTACTGGTTTCTGTGGAAGTTTCTGCTCATGGGTTTCTGGTTTGGTAGGTTGTGATTCTCTGTATTTGCATATCTGTCTCTTCAACTCTGGGGACAGTGATTTGCCATGTGACCTCACTTCTCTGATGGACTTCAGAAGAGTTGTTGATTTTTCAGTCTGTTCAGCTTTTCACTTGTTGTTAGGATGGGGTGATGACTTCCAAGCTCCTTAAATGCCAGACGGGAAACCAAACAATTGAGAAGTTTTAAATAGATGTCTTTTTAATCAGATTAAGGAATTTTTCGGCTGGGCACAGTGGCTCATGCCTGTAATCCCAGCACTTCGGGAGGCCGAGACAGTCGGATCATTTGAGACCAGGAGTTTGAGACCAGCCTGGCCAACACAGCAAAACCCCATCTCTACTAAAAATACAAAAATTAGCCGGACATGGTGGTACAAGTCTGTAATCCCAGCTACTCGGGAGGCTGAGGTACAAGAATCCCTTGAACCAGGAAGGTGGAGGTTGCAGTGAGTTGAGATTGTGCCACTGTATTTCAGCCTGGGCGACAGAGCCAGACTCCATCTCAAAAAAAAAAAAAAAAAAAAAAAAAAAGAGAGAGAGATTAAGGAAATTTCCTTTTACTTCTGATTTGTTAATAGTTAGGAAACTTTTTAAAAATCATAAATGGGTGTGGAATTTTATAAAATGCTTTTTCTGCATCTATGGAGAGGATAATAAGATTTTTCTCCTTTAACATTTAATATCAGTGGATTTTAAAATATAAAATCAGTCTTGAATTCCTGAGATAAACTCAACTTTGTTGTGTTGTGTTTTGCTTTTATTTATTTTTTATTTTTTTTTGAGACAAAGTCTCACTCTGTCACCCAGGTTGGAGTGCAGTGGCGTGATCTCGGCTCATCGCAACCTCCTCCTCTCAGGTTCAAGTGATTCTCCTGCCTCAGCGTCTCGAGTAGCTAGGACTACAGTTGCCTGCCACCATGCCCAACTGATTTTTGTATTTTTAGTAGAGATGGGGGTTTCACCGTGTTGGCTAGGTTGGTCTCGAACTCTTGACCTCAGGTGATCCGCCCGCTTTGGCCTCCTAAAGTGCTGGGATTACAGGTGTGAGCCACCGTGCCCGGTTGTTTTATTTTTTAAAAAATATGCTATCGCAAGAAAAAAAAATATGTGGTTGGATTTGGTTTGCTAATATTTGCTTGGGAGTTTTTGCATATTTATTCATGAATTAAATGGGCTTAGAATTTTAAATTCTCAAATTTTTCTTGTTTAGGTTTTGTTGTCAAAATCACACTGGCCTCATAACCGTGGAGTTGTTGAGTTGTTCCTCATTTTCTATTTCTTGGTACATTTTTAAAAATATTTCTTTGTTCCTTAAGTTTATTAGGATTCTCCTGTAAACTGTTTTGGCCTAGTGTTCTCTTTACTAGAAAATTTAGACTACTGGCCTAATCCATATTTCTTTTTATTTTGTAATCAGTTTTAAAAACCAATTTTTCTAAGAATGTATACATTTTCAATGTTATTAGCACAAAGCTGTTGAAGTACTCTCTTATCCGTCTAATCTCTGCTGTATTTATAGGTATCAGTTCCTTTTTGTGTTATTATTTATTGTGAATTTTCATATTTTTTCTTCATTATTCTTTTTAGAGGTGTTTTTAAATTACCCTCTTCAGAGGTTAAAAATAATTTTAATAACTTTTTTCTCTTTATTTGCTTGCTTTTTGTTTCATTAATTAATTAATTAATTAATATTATTATTATTATTTTGAGATGGAATCTCACTCTGTTGTCCATGCTGGAGGGCAGTGGTGTGATCTCAGCTGACTGCAAACTCTGCTTCCTGGGTTCAAGCAATTCTTATGTTTCAGCTTCCTGAGATGACAGGAGATGACAGGAGCCCACCACCATGCCTGGCTAATTTTTGTATTTTTATTAGACATGGAGTTTTGCCATGTTGGTCAGACTGGTCTCGAACATCTGGCCTCAAGCAATCCACCTGCCATGGACTCCCCAAGTGCTGGGATAACAGGCGTGAGCCACTGCACCCTACCTGTTTCAGTAATTTATGCATCTATCTTTATTATCTCCTCCCCTCTACCATACAGGTCCCTTTATTCTCCCTCTTTCTGTTATACTTCTCTTATATGTTACATATATGTGTGTGTATATATATATGAAAGCTCATTAGAAAATATTACAATTTTTGCTTTCAGTCACCAACATGTTTTAAGAAGCTCAACAGGAGAATAATGTATTCATTTAGATATTTACCATGTCTGTTTCTTTCATTTCTGATGTTTCCAGTTTCCTTCCAAATACCGTTTTTCTTCTTTCTGAAGAACTTTATCTAGGAATGCTTTTTTTTTTTTGAGACTGAGTCTTGCTCTGTCACCCAGGCTGGAGTACAATGGCATGATCTCGGTTCACTGCAAACTCTGCCTTCCGGGTTCAAGTGATTCTCCTGCCTCAGCCTCCCCAGTAGCTGGGATTACAGGTGCATGCCACCATGTCTGGCTAATTTTTGTATTTTTAGTAGAGACAGGGTTTCACCATGTGGTCAGGCTGGTCTTGAACTCCTGACCTCAGGTGATCCACCCACCTTGGCCTCCCAAAGTATTGGGATTACAGGCGGGAGCCACTGCGCCCGGCCCTAGCAATTTTTTTAGAGAGATCTGCTGGCAGTGAATGTTAGTTTTCCTTCCATTGAGAATGTCTTTATTTCATCTTCCTTTCTGAACAATATTTTTGCTGGCTGCAAAATTGTGGGTTGACAGGTCTGTTTTTTCAGCATTAAAAAAAATGTGCCACTTCCTTTTGGCCTCCATAGTTTCTGATGAGAAATCCATAGTCATTTCAATTTTTCTTTCTCTATGGGCATTGTGGCATTTTTCTTTTTCTTTTTTTTTTTTTTTTTTTTTTTGAGACGGAGTCTTGCTCTGTCACCTAGACTGGAGTACAATGGCATGATCTCGGCTCACTGCAACCTCTGCCTCCCCGGTTCAAGTAATTCTCCTGCCTTAGCCTCCTGAGTAGCTGGGATTACAGGTCTGCACCACCACGCTTGGCTAATTTTTGTATTTTTGGGAGAGACGGGGTTTCACCATGTTGGCCAGGCTGGCTTTGAACTCTTGATCTCGTGATCCACCCGCCTATGCCTCCCAAAGTGCGGGGATTACAGGCGTGAGCCACCGCACCCTGCATTGTGGCACTTTTCTCTGATTGTTTTAGAGATGTTTTCTTTGTTTTCAGAGGTTTGCTTATGATGTATCTTGGCATTGATTTCTTTGAATTTATCCTAAATTCAAAGAAATTCAAAGATAAATTTCTTTGAATTTATCTCTAAATTTATACTGTTTGCTAAATTTGGGAGTTTATATATAACTTTATGGTGTCACTTTGCCAAGCCCCTTCTTCTTCATGATTTCTTTCACCATGTTGCCCAGGCTGGTCTCGAACTCCTGAGCCCAGGCAATCCACCTGCCTCGGCCTCTCAAAGTGCTAAGATTACAGGCATGAGCCACCATGCCCAGCCACTTGTTCAGGGCTTTCTTATATGCTGGGGCTCATCTTTCTAGTCCTCTTGCCAGAAATCTGGGCTTTCATTCCCCTTATCTGTGATGCATCTTCTACCAGTGTACCATGGCTGGGGCCAAGCAGCAGGAGGACTGAAGAGGGGAAAATGGTCAACTTCCTGCCAGCTCAGCAGTAATCTGAATTCTTGTCTTCTGATTTTTTCTGCCTGCTGCTATTTACTTTTTTTTTTTTTTTTTTTTTGAGACAAGGTCTTGTCGCTCTGTCACCCAGGCTGGAGTACAGTGGCATGATCATGGCTCACTGCAGCCTTGACCTCCCTGGGCTCAAGCAATTCTCCCATCTCAGCCTCCCAAGTAGCTTGGACCACAGGCATGCACCACCATGTCCGGCTATTTGTTTTTGTATTTTGTAGAGATGGGTTTTCATCCCCGTCTTGACCTCTTGAGCTTGAGCAATCTGCCCACCTGGGCTTCTCAAAGTACTGGGATTACAGGTGTGAGCCACAGCTCCTGGCAGGTTATTTACTTTTTATTTTTTTGAGACGGAGTCTCTGTTGCCCAGGCTGGAGTGCGATGGCACTATCTTGGCTCACCGCAACCTCTGCCTCCCAGGTTCAAGCGATTCTCCTGCCTCAGCCTCCCAAGTAGCTGGGATTATGGGCGTGTGCCACCATACCTGGCTAATTTTTGTATTTTTACAAAGAGACAGGGTATTTCCATGTTGGCTAGGCTGGTCTCAAACTCCTGACCTCAGGTGATCCGCCTGTCTGGCCTCCCAAAGTGCTGGGATTACAGGCGTGAGCCACCGCGCCCGGCTATTTACTTTTTAGAGTCCTCAGCTTCTCTGTGCATTGTGTTCTGGCATTTGGTGGGGGAGACAGGATGGAATGTGGTTACTCCATCTTCCCCAGAGCTGGAATTTTAGAGTAGGTCTTTGTAAACAAAACTCTCAGTTGCGGGTTTTGAGGACCACCAAATTTCCAGCTTGAGTTATTTAGGGCCACTAAAGCAGATAAGAACAGCAGACTCACATGTGGGCTGGCTTGAGGTTACAGATTCTCAGGGTAGGTTTTTCCCTTTTATGCTATGCCAAGCCTCAAGACAGCAATCTTCTCTGCAATCCCTGGTCTAGTTCACCTTTCCACTAAGAGTGAGCTAGCGTTGGCCAGGTGCGGTGGCTCAAGCCTGTAATTCCAGCACTTTGGGAGGCCGAGGCGGGTGGATTGCCTGAGGACAGGAGTTGGAGAACAGCCTGACCAACATGGTGAAACCTGGTCTCTACTAAAAATACAAAAATTAGCCAGGCGTGGTGGTGGGTGCCTGTAACCCCAGCCACTTGGGAGGCTGAAACAGGAGAATCGCTTGAACCTGGGAGGCGGAGGTTGCAGTGAGCCAAGATCGCGCCATTGTACTTCAGCCTGGGCAACAAGAGCGAAACTCTGTGTCAAAAAAAAAAAAAAAAAAAAAAAAAAAAAAGAGTACGCTAGCGTTACAGGAAGCTCTAGGTGTTTCTTATTAGACTCTCCATCTTATCTCCTGTTTCCTGCACTTCTCAGATTACTGAGCTTGACCAATGTCCTCAAGGTAAACGTTGATTTTGGTGCTCGCTAGGTAATTAATTTTACTTAAATCTCTTCACATTCTTGACTTTACTTAGTATTGCCCTCCAAGTATTCCTTAGTTTCTTGGTTGTCTTCAACAAATTATTATTATTTAAAAAGTAGTTTGTTCAATATTTTGGGTTGTTTTCAGCAATTGGATGTGTCAGCTTAGCAGTCTACCATATTGCTGGAAACGGAAGTCTCTAGAAACATGCTTTGAGTTCCTCATCATGCTCATTACTTTGCTAGTCTTGGAAAAGGTAACTTTATAAATATGTGATGCTTTCCTTAAGAGGCTTCTCATTTTAATATATTTATTTAATTTGTCTTATTTGAAACAACATTTGGAGATGATAATGAAATACAGTATTTTTTTAGACTTTGCCTATTCATCACTTGTATTTATCTATACAAATGTAGCCAACACTGAATGCCTGATATGCAAATGAAATAAGATATGCGAAAGTACTTTGAAAATGGTAAAGCACTATATAAATGTAAGATGTTATTATCTAAATAATTGAAAGTCTTTTTATATTGGATCAGATCATGGATTACTGGTGAGGACTCAATGAAAAAGAAAATTCATAACAAATGCCTAGTGGAAGCCACAGAGGCTGACGAGGAGACGAGTACCAGGTGTTCCTCACCTGATGCCCAGCACCTCCTTTCACAGGTTTCAAGGAGCTTCTGCACATGAACTTGAACTAGAGTTTCTTACAAAGCAAGTGGAGGGAGTCAGTTAAGCAAAGCATTCCTTGGGGCCAGGCGCGGTGGCTCATGCCTGTAATCCCAGTACTTTGGGAGGCTAAGGCAGGTAGATCACCTGAGGTCAGGAGTTCGAGACCAACCTGGCCAACATGGTGAAACCCCGTCTCTACTAAAAATACAAAATTAGCTGAGCGTGGTGGTGCACACTTGTAGTCCCAGCTACTCAGGAGGCTGAGGCAGGAGAATCGCTTGGACCTGGGAGGTGGAGGCTGCAGTGAGCCAAGTGCACTCCAGCCTGGGCGAGACAGAGTGAGACTCCGTCTCAAAAAACAAAAAAACATTCCTCGGAAAATTGAATTGCTGGATTTGATTTCTGTACAGTCATGACTCTGGGCTGTTTAAAGGGTGTTTTATAGTTTGTTGACAGTGATGGGAGGACATGCTGATGTGTTATTTGTGGTATTTACAGGGTCTGACATCAGGAACAAAACATGTGTTTCCATATTTTGGACTCTTTCTCGTTGGCTCCTCCATGGTGGCACATCTACATTTTATATCTCAGAGGACTGTGAAGTTTGGCATTCTCTGTGCACCTTACTGAAACCCATGGAGGGCACAGGGTTTAGAATGGTTAGGAATGCAGGCTTTGGAGGCAGCCACCCCTGGGCTCATGCTCGGCTCTGCTGCCTTGAGCTACGTGACCTTGGCGAGTTCCTTCCCCTCTCTGAGCCTGGTTTTCCTCACCTGCAAATGGAGATCATCATCCTCAGCTCCTGTAGCTTTGGTGAGACTTCAGTGAAGCCAGCCACAGAGTGTGTAACTCAGTGATTGGCACATAGGGGCCTTTCAGTAAGAAACGACCCGCCTATCATCCTCATGCTATGTTCAGGGCAGTGATTCTCAACCTTGGCTGACCATTAGCCTCGCCTGGGGAGCTTTGAAAAACTCTGTGGTTCAGGCTACACCCAGAACCATCACGGCAGAATCTCTGGGTGTGCCATTAGGATGAGACCCACTGTGGGGGCCATCGAGGAGAAGAGCAGGGCTGTCAAGGCTTGTGTGGAGATGCTAACACTCCTGCAGGAACCCCCTCCGCTACCCAACCAGCTCACCCTCCACATGCTAGTCTCGTGGGGGCTCCAAGGGGCAGAGCTGCTGGTGGGGGGATAGCCCAGTGTGTGCCACGGCCTTGAGGTTGCAGGGGGCAAGGATGACTTGAGGAAGCAGAGGAGGGCCACGGAGGCTGCAGGGCAGAAGGTGGGTGATATGGTTTGGATATGTGGCCCCACCGAGATCGCATGTGTAACCCCAATGTTAGAGGTGGGGCTTGGTGGCGGGTGATTGGATCATGGGGGTGAGTGGATCCCTCATGAATGGCCTGGGCTGTCCCCTTGGTAATAAGTGAGCTCCGCTCTCAGTTCACATGAGATTTGGTCGCTTAAAAGGGTGTGGCCCCTCCCCACACACTCTCTCTCTCGCTTGCTCCTGCTTTCGCCATGTGACGTGCCTGCTCCTGCTTTGCCTTCCGCCATGATTGGAAGCTTCCTGAGGCCTCCCTAGAAGCCAAGCAGATGCCAGCACCATGCTTCCTGTACAGCCTGCAGAACCATGAGCCAATTAAACCTCTTTTCTTCATAAATTATCCAGTCTCAAGTATTTCTTTATGACAATGTAAGAATGGCCTAATACAGTGGGTGAGAGAGGCCCATGGTGAGACAGGAGAGGTCTGTGGGTGCCCTGTGGGATTTATGTTCATAGGATCACTCTGGCTTCAATGTGGGAGGAGAGTCCTTGGGGGAAGGAGGCTATTGCTGTGTTTTCATTGAGACTGGCCGTGCTAGCTTAGTCTAGGAGTCCATGTGGAGGGGAGTGGACAGATGCAAGAGACATCCTGTGGGTAGAGTGGACAAGACTCGTGCGGAGTTGAAGGGGCAGACGAGGACCTAGGTAGACAGATGCCGTGCTTGGATGTTTGTTTTCTCCAAATCTCATGTTGAAATTTGATCCCCAGCACCACCAGTGGGGTGGCGCTGGGAGGTGGGTCCTTGTGGGAGGGTTTGAGTCACAGGGGCATATCCCTCATGAACAGCGTGGTGCCATTTTTGTGGAAGTGGATTTGTTCTCAAGGGAATGGATTAGTTTCCATGCGAGTGTGTTGTTATAAAGCCAGGATGCCTCTCAGGTTCTCCCTCTTCACACGTATCTGCTTCCTCTATGACCTTCTCCACTGTGTTTTAACCCAGCACCAGAAGCAGCACAAATACTGGCATCATGCATCTGGTACAGCCTGCAGAACTGTGAGCTAAGTGAACTTCTTTCTTTCTTTTTTTTTTTCAGATGGGGTTTCGCTCTTGTTGCCCAGGCTGGAGTGCTATGGCGTGATCTTGGCTCATTGTAACCTCCGCCTCCCAGGTTTAAGAGATTCTCCTGCTTCAGCCTCCTGAGTGGCTGGGAGTACATGCATCCGCCACCACACCCGGCTATTTTTTTTTTTTTTTTTTGTATTTTTAGTAGAGACGGGGTTTCACCATGTTGGCCAGGCTGGTCTTGAACTCCTGACCTCAGGTGATTCACCCGCCTTGGCCTCCCAAAGTGCTGGGATTACAGGCATGAGTCACCGTGCCCAGGCAACCTCTTTTCTTTACAAATTGCCCAGCCTCAGGTATTCCTCTATAACAACAGAAAATGGGCCAAGACAACAGAGCAAAGTTTGAGGCTGGTGTGAGCTTTTGTTCCAAAGAAGTGCCCAGTAAGTGTCTGTCGTCTCTGCAGAGGCTGATTCCGGGTGTGATCTTGGCCATCTTGCTTCACCTTGGAAGCCTCAGTTTCCTCATGTATAAAATGATAGGATTGGAGTAGTGCTTCCAAGAGTTTTGTGCCCACTACATTCCACGCTACAAGGAGCCTCACAGAGTGCAGGTCTCGTAGACTGGCCATGAATTTGGCTTTCATGTTTCTAAGGCACGCCCGACTGCTTATTTCTGAGAAGGGCCACCAAGCCCTACAAGACCAGAATTCCCATCTGCCTTTAGCAATTTTTTAAAAATGAGAGAATCACATATAAATATATATATTATAAATTTAAATATATAAATTATATATAACTATATACAATACATATATTACATATTATATTTTAAATATATTTGTATTATATATATTATATTTTAAATATATATATTATATATTTATTATATATATTATATATATAATATATAATATATATAATATATATTATATATATAATATATTATATATTTATATTTATAAATATAATATATATTATATATATATAACATATATATATAATATATATTATATATTTATAATATATACATATTTTTTGAGACAGGGTCCTGCTCTGTCATCTAGTCTAAGCTGAAGTGCAGTGACGCCATCATAGCTCACTGCAGCCTTGACACCCCCAGGCTTAAGCGATCCTCCCACCTCAGCCTCCCAAGTAGCTGAGACCACAGGTGTGCACCACCATGTCCAGTTACGTTTTTGCTTTCTTTTTTGTTTTTGTAGAGATGAGGTTTCGCCATGTTGCCCAGGCTGGTCTTGAACTCCTGGGCTCAAGGGATCTCCTGCCTCAGTCTCCGAAGTGCTGGGATTACTGGAGTGAGCCACTGCACCTGGCCTGCTTTTAGCAATTTTTTAGTGAACACTGTGGGCCATATGTTGTGTCATAGATGGCCATCCTTGTTCTTATGAGAGAGGCCCTGTGGTCTCCTCAGCTTCTGGAGCTGTTTTCTTCTTCCTGGCTAGGGTAGAGGCTCCATCCTCACTGTTCCTCCAGAGTGAGGACAGAAGCTCCGCAAGAAGCGGAGGACCTCAGACAGGCTCTGCTGCCCATGCTCAGGATCTGGCCAGAGCAGGCAGCTCTTGTGATTGGGGTGAGAGGCAGATTTGTCTCTCCTTCACGGTTCACTGTCACTGGGTCCCCATCCTCAGAGCAGGTTGCAGATGGCCGTGGAGCAGGCTGAGCATCACTCTGTTGTGAGTCCTGTCATCTGTCCCCTGAGGCTCTCCCCAGTGACGCCCCTTCCCACAGGCCTCCTGCCCTTCTCCTTTCTTCTCACTCCTCCTCACCACTAGGTCTTTCAGTGGATTTTTCCTCCTTAATACTCAAAGGGTGGCCTTCGTGTCCAGACCTGGTCGCTCAGCATATTTCAACCTCCTAAATGCAGTGACCAGCTAAACAATGAGGCTAAAGACACAAACTGGCTCAATGAAACCCAATCCCAGCTGATGACACAAACTGGCTCAGTGAGACCCAATCCCAGTGCTTTTCCTAGAGCTGCTGTTCTCTGGGCTGCTCAGTGAGGATGTGAGTCTGGGGTCACTGCCAGCTGTTTTCCTTCCCTGGGAGGGGAAAACTTGCTTAAGAATAACACCAAATAACAAAAGCAGAGACAGGCACTTCAGAACATTGTCTGAGCTGTGGGCCCAGCCATGCTTAAAATCTATTCCCAGACCTTCTCAGCACTGGGGCAGTTTGTTATTTTTATTTCAGAGACAAGGTCTTTTTCTGTTTCACAGGCTGGAGTGCATTGGCACAATCATAGCTCCCCATAACCTCAAACTCCAGAGCTCAAGTGGTCCTCCTGCCTCAGCCTCCCTAGTTACTAGGACTACAGGCGTGCCACCACTCCTGGCGAATTTTTTTTTAATTTTTTTATTTTTTGTGGAGACAGGGTCTCTCTATGCTGTCCAGGCTGGTCTCAAACTCCTGGCCTCAAGCGATCCTCCTGCCTAGTCCTCCCAAAATGTTGGAATTACAGGCATGAGCTATTGTTCCCAATCTTCCAATTTGTTATTTTTTTTCCTAAGCTACTAGTCACCAAGCGCTCTGATGAACACAGCTATCTTCACATGACCACGGGGTCTCAGAGAGTTCAGTCTAACCACTGGAAACAAATATTTTGTTGGACTCACTGCAGAACAGTGGACATAACTGAAAAATCAAGGGCTTTGGCATAAGACAGGATTGATTGGGTTTGAAACTTGACCCTGCTGCGTGACACAGTCTGTGAGGTTGGGCAAATTTCTCTAATACTCTGTGCCCTTGAGCTTGATCATTTGTGCAATACCGTGCTCCGATTAGAATACTCATGTCTACTGGAGAAACCTTGAATATAGGAAATTTGAATTATATGAGCACATTCTCTTCATGCAGAATTAGTTGAGTCTTCTGCCTCTGCATTAGAATTGTGGTCACTGTGATATGGTATGAAGGAATGACCTCCAGAGAGGTTAATTGGCTTCTCCAAGGCAGAGCACATTTCTGTAGGGTCAGGCTGAGGGGTTTGAGTGAGGAGTCCTATAGCTTTGGCCACCATGAACCTCACCAAGCATCCTACCCGCAGCAGCAGGCAGGGCGTGTGGAAGCCTCTCTCCACGGGGCCAACCCTCTAGGATTTCTGACTGGAGCCCTCCCACCCCTCCCCCGAAGGCTTTTCTGGATTGAAGAAATCTGTCCACCGTGAAAGTTTCATGTAGGCTGACAGAGAAATCCCCTTCCTCGTGGTGCCTGCTGACTTTCAGAAGCAAGCAAGACGGCGGGGAGGAAGTGTGGGAAAGGACTCAGATGAGTGTGGGGTCTGGGCAGTGCAGACACTTTGGGGCTGATGGTGACAAAAGCCAACAGGTGGAAGCAGTGCATGGGGAGGATGTGTAAGAGGAGACCACAGGGTGTCTGGGGTCAGAGGCTGCTGCAAAAATAACCTGCATCCGGACCAGGGATGGCCAGGAGTCAGTTTTCCAGATTTAACAGCAGCCTTCTGCCCTGGTGGCAGCCCCCAGGGCCACCTCTCCTGTTTATTTTGTACTGTAATGACATGCAATCAAAGAGCTCTATGGGCCCGGTACCTTAGCAGAAAAGTAAAGCTGGGAGATGGAGTGTGCAGGAACTATAGGAACAAAGGCTGCTTTCCGGCCAGTATTAGCATCTACGCTTTGTAGCCTACGAGAATGAAAAACAAACACCCTCAGTTGTTTAAGAGCTACGTTGCATGACTAAGGCAGTGATTTACAAATGGGGATGAAACTTTGCTGATGGGTTCCAGTGACTTCAATGGACCAAGAAAAGAAGACTTATTCCCAAGGTCTGCATGGCTGCCGGGGAGGGCTATTTATTATCATCTAAATCACAGTGACCACGTGAAGCTGTCCCAGGCAAGGCTGTGTAGCCTTGGTCGCTTGTCGGCTGCTGTAGGATCTGGTTGGCTTGCCACCTTGTCCAAAGATTCTAATTCATGACAGGGCTGTCGACGTCTAGAGGCTGTTCTGTAGGATCCCCATGGGCTCTCCACAGCTCTCTGGTATTTTTCCACACTTTCCTGAAACTGGATTCTCCCAAGGCCTTTTCTGGGCCTTCCATGATAACAGCTAAAGCAACATGCTTTCCATCCTTGTCGTGAGAGGGGAGTGTCTTGGTGAGGAACTTGTTTCTGATTTTCAGCTGACATCTTCCTTTCCTCTCCATTTCATTCCCGTTACTTCTATAGTATGGATACTGCCTGGGCCCTAACCAAACAGTTCCTCTCTCTCTCTGTGGCCAGCTCCTGCTCACACGCACGGATCTGGTGTGTGATATCCATCCAGCTCTGCCAATGTATTCCCCCGCAAGGCTGTCACTTGCTTTTCTAGCTCATTAATCATCTTTGTTGCTTTTCTCTGAATTTTCTCTGAGTTGATCTCTCGTTTCCTGGACAGAGGAACACAGAACAGCTGCTGCTTCACAGGCAAAGTACTGAAGAGAGCTCTTCTGTCTGGTCACAAAATCGTCCTTCTCCTCCCAAGCACGTCGTAGTGACTGCACCTGGGGCTGCGTGGAAATGCTATCAGCTTCCAAGGAGCTTGGTGTAAGCTGGGTCTGTCCGGGACTCCTTCCAAGCAAAGGTTTTTACTTTTTTTCAGAATTAAAAAGGGCTTCATTATGAAAAGAAAGTCTCTCACCTTATAAAGCAGGCTCCTAACAGGGACGAAGAAAGTGCTGTTCTGAGGAGGAGAAGGTATTCAGAGGGCCCGTGCTCATTCTGCAGGAGACATGGAGTATGCCTGCCGCCCGCCTCCAAGTCAGGACCCCAGGGCTGGAGAATCATGGGTCCAGGATAGCGGGGGACGGAGAGAGTGTAGGACCTCCCTCTACTCCTTACATTTTTAAAGTGAACAAACAGAGGCCCAAGTCATTGGCATAGTTTACCTTTGGGGCAGGAGCCTGGTATAATAAAGCAATCAGGGCCCGAGAATCAAAGGGCTGGTGTCATCCACTGGCTATAAGATCCTGGCTTTAACTTCTTTCCACCTTAACAACTTTTCAGTGAAGATGGAGTAATAACAATAATAACAGTAATAATGCCAATGAAAAAGAAGCGTCCACTCCCATCTGTCTTTGGTTTGGGGTGACCTAAAGGGTGCCCATCTGGCCCCAAAGAACAGGAATGGGAGCTCTTGCTCCCATCCTTGCTGGGTGTCCAGGGTTCTAATGAGACTTCCAAGTGTCTCGGATGCTGTGGGGTGGCTGAGCGATTTGCATTGATGTTATTGGGGGTACTCAAAGCACTGGCAGGATATTGATCGTACTTGTGGGGAGACACTGATGGTCCTGCTCCACGGGGAACAGAAAAGCCAGCCAGTGAGACCTCACATCACAGCCCTGGAGGAGTTCCAACTGGGGGCAACCCTTGCCCCTGCAAGCAGGCTTCCCTTTCCGTGCAAGATGTGGCACTCTCGTCCCATCCACCCTTCGGGCACTCAACTCCTGGGCATTGCTCCTTGTCACCTGGCACTGCCTCCAGAACTTAGGGGCCCCCAACCACCTATAGGTTCCCAGACCTGGTGACTGAGTCCCTTTAACACATCTGAGTTCACTCCTTCTTCAGACTGGACCCCCTTTCCACAAAAGCCCTGCTCCCACTAAACTGGCCCCTATGCCCTTAGATCCACAAAGACTTGTTTGTCTTCCTGGAGGACAAAGAGGGCCTAGTCCACAGCAAGGTCAGGGAGGGACAGTGTTTTCATTCCTTCCAAGTGCCTCCCCTTCCCCAAGGAGAGACAGAGAGCTCTAGCTAAGTGTGTGCACCTGTGTGAGTCACACTAGGCTGGGCTATCCTGACCTCACATGGTTTTTGGGAGAATTGACTGAGATCATGTAGGTAAAAATGCCTCCCAAGCATGAAAATGGGATACAAATATGAGCTGCTGTTGTTTCTTCAGTACGAAAACACTTTTAAAAAAATTTAAATTATATTTATTTATTTTTTGAGACAACGTTTCGCTCGTCACCCAGGCTGGAGTGCAATGGCGCAATCTCGGCTCACTGCAACCTCCATCTCCCAGGTTCAAGCAATTCTCCTGCCTCAGCCTCCCGAGTAGCTGGGATTACAGGTGCCCGCCTTTTGTATTTTCAGTAGAGACGGGGTTTTGCCATATTGGTCAGGCTGGTCTCAAACTCCTGAACTCAGGTGATCCTCCTGCCTCGGCCTCCCAAAGTGCTGGGATTACAGGCATGAGTCACCACACCTGGCCCCTATTTTTATTTATTTATTTATTTAGAGACAAGGTCTCACTCTGTCACCTAGGCTGGAGTGCAGTGGTGGGATCAGAGCTCACTGCTCACTCAAACTCTTGAGCTCAGGTGATTCTCCCCCATCTGTCACCCCCCAGCCTCCCAAGTAGCTGGGACCACAGGCATGTGTGCACCACCATGCCCTGTTATTGTTTTAATTAGTTTTTATAGAGATGGAGGGGGTGGTCTTGCTATGTAGTCCAGGCTGGTCTTGAACTCCTGGCCTTAAGTGCTCCTCTCCCTTGACCTCCCAAAGTGTTAAGATTATAGGCGTGAGCCATTGGGATGGGCCTGAAAACACTTAAAGGGAGAGTGGGCCAGAGCTTCATCCCTGCAAATAATTGCTGCAGCCCAAAGTATCCTTGCAATTGCTAGGCATTTGTAGGGCTGGTCGCAAGAGAATTGGGACCTACCTTTAAGAAGCAGGGTGTGTGACAAAACAGGAAAAGTGTCATCCTTTCAAAGTGAATACTGCAGGACATTGCTGATCAATCTTCTTTTCTCCCTTGCCCAGGCGTGGGGATGCATGCCATCAGTCTCACGATAATGGATGATCGTCCTGAATAATACAAGATTCTCTGAACATTGCTTTCATGCTGTGATGTAATTGCATTGCTGATGTAAGGGGGCCTTCTTTTTTGTACTTGGAAATCTTTGCTGTTTAGAGGAGTAGATATTTTCTTATGGCATTGTTTATAGTGGAATTTGATTTACAGGACAGAAAAGAAGATTTGTGTGTAGACTACCATTTGTCTTCTTCAATTACGTCTATTTTCTCCTCTCTGTGATTTTAAAAGATTTGTCTTGCAATACCTGACTCGGGTCTCACAACCAGTCATTTCAGAGCTATGCTCAACTGGCCCTGTTCTCCCAAACATGCCCTTTCTTCTAGATAGTTTGCTTCTCCCTGGTGATGGGATTAGTGTCTAGACTGGGGATTCATGGTGGCTTTTCCTTGCCACATACTCCATCCTCTTTCCACCCACAGCTGCTCATGCCCAATTCTCACAGCCATTCCTTGAATAAATACGTTCTGTCTCTACAGCAAATTCTTTATCCCCTTGATGCCCAAGGAAACTGATTCACCACACTGAGGTTTCTGTCTGGGTACTGCTTCCAGACAACCCAAGCCATGTTCTAGCTTGCCGGTGGGATCTGGGTTTGGGTCTGGTCCTTCCCTGTCTTTGTTTTGCTTCATTTGATCTCCCTTTGGATGCAGTCTCTCCCTCTTTCTGTCCCATGATTGCACACAAGCCTATGCCCAGCCTTAGCTATAATCCAAGAGAAACTCTTGGTCAGTGCAATGCAAAGCTTCTAAAACTTGATGGGAGGTGCTCAGGCACATGTAACTCTTCTCTTGAATCAAGCATGCCCAGGCCAAAGGGCGAGTGTGTGGGCGTAAAGTCATGTGGTTTCCCATCTCAAGTTAATGTTATTCAACACTCTTGGTGGCATTTTTAGGGGCTTTGATGGTGGAAAGAGAAGCATTTTCTCCAATTTAGGAAAATAACTACTCAGTTCTGCCTGGAATTAATTTTCCTTGTTCAATTATTTTTAATCAAATGGCATTGTGAACCAGCTTCTGTGAACTTGTTTAATTCTTCTGTTGTGTTTTTGTGGGTTTTTCCAATATTCAGAAAAGTATTTCACCCTTTTAAGAAGTCCCGACAAGAAGTTACAGGGAATTAAGGGACCAGATTGTAAAATGGACATGGACCATTCATTATGGAGGAGGGGGCTGTTGACAGATTTAGGAGCCCTGCTGTAAAGAGAGAACCACTGTGTTCTCCATTTTGTGGAGTCAAGATCTTATATCAAGACTTGATATATACTAGAGCAGCTGGGAGCTCAGAGTCCTGTCTCCAGGGTAAGGGGAGAGAGTGAGAGCAAGACAATCATAGGTCAACAGACAAATATTAAGAAGACAATTCATTCTTTCCACAGGCATCTAGTAGCATGCTTGGGAAGAAGAGCTCAACCTTTTCTCAGGCAGTATGGTGGGACAGAGCCTCGACATTCTTTGATTCTTTTTCTGTTGAGACATGGCACCTGTGTTCATCCTTTTGCCAGGCTTGAGACTACTTTGACCTGTAAATTGCTGGGGAAGTGACGCTGTATGGCTCCTGAAGCTGGGTCTTGAAAGGCAATGCAGATTCCTCCATGTTTGCTGGGGCACTTGCTCTTGGGTCTCTGTAACCAAGTAAGAAGTTTGATTGCCCTGAGGCAGCCATGCTGTCAGGAAGCCAAGCCACACTGGGAGGCCACATGGAGATCTCTGGCCAGCATTCCCAGTCTTTGAGTCAGCTGAGCTCTGATGCCAGACACAGGAGTGAACAAGCACTCGGATGATTCCAAACCCTAGCTGCCGAGTCACCCCAGCCTTTGAGCCTTCCCTGTTGAGGCCCCAGACATTGTAGAGCAGAGACAAGGCATTCTTTCTGCACCTTGTCCAAATTCCTGACCCACAGAATCCATGTGCCTGGTAAAATGGCTGTGATAAGCCATTAAGTTTTGGGGTAATTTGTTTTGCAGCAATAGAAACTGAAAAAGGAACCTGTGAATAATGGAAAAATAAAGCAGATTAAGGGGTTAGAGAGTGACAGCGGTGGGTTTGGGATTGGGGGCAGATATTTTGGATAGGGTACCAGAAGACTTCTCTGAGGAGCTGACATTTATGCAGAGAGTTGAACGATGTCAGCATGCAGGCATGCAAACATCTGAGGGAACATGTCCTGGTCATAGGGAAGAGCAAATGTAAACACTCTGAGATGGAAGTGAAGTTACTCAGAGATAGCAAGGTGGCCTATGTGCCTAGAGCTCCTGGAGTGAGGTGGAGAGTGACAGGAGATGAGGTGTGAGAGGGAGCCACATGTAAGGCTTTATTGGTCAAGATAAAAGATTTGTATTTTGTTAAAAGCCAATGTGAAGTTTTGAATAGGGGTGTATTCTCCTCACTCACTCCCTCATTGATTTTACCCAGGTTCCATATGCTGATCTTTTCCAAATATATATTTCTAACCCAGACCTCAGCTTCAAATGCCAGATGCTTTGTATAGCTGCTTACTCAGCTCTCCATATGGATTATTAGTAGACATTTAAAACATAGTATGCACAAACTACTAGCTTATTCTTGGCTCCCAAACCACTGCCTCCCACAGTCTACCCAATAGCATCAATGGAAACTTCATCCTAGCTGCTCAGGTATTCTGACATCCCGTGTTTGATCGACCAGAAAGTCCAGTTGGCTCTGCCTCCTGTCAGTTCTCCCTGCTTCCATCCTCACCCTCTTTCCATCTGTTCTCCTGGCACAAAGTGTGGCTGTTGAGAAGTTCGAGGATGACCTGACTTTCTCTCCCTTCTAAGCAGTGTGCTCTTCGTTCCTGGATGTCCAAGGGATTTTATATTTTTCTTTAAAGTCTAAAAATGTTATTAGAATGTATTTTGGTGTTGCTTGTATTGGGGTGATTCTGACTTTATGTAGTCTCAAATCTTTAGAAACTAATTTCAGAAAAATTCTCCCACTCCATTGTAGTTTTTAGTTTGTGTTCTTTTCCTCACTTTGGTTTTCTCTTTTGGGGATTCCTTTTACACAAATGTTGAATCTTCTTTGTCTGTCTTCTGTATTTGTTAATTTCTCTCAAGTCCCTCTTGATTCTTTCTTCATTTATTTTAATATAACTTTTTTTTTTTACTTTATACTTTCTATTTCTCTTAAGGAATTATCCACTGGATTTATGCCCTCTTGCCTTCTTTTTAATTTAAAAATAATTTCTAATGTGATTTAAAAAATTCCTAATACTTCCCTGAATTTTATCATTTTACTTCTGAGTTTTTCTTGCTCTAATTTATGTTGATCTTTTAGCTTGTTTTGAAATAAGCTGTGGATTTCATTCATTTTGTAGGCATGTCTTTATGATCTGTTTTATGGCTGTGGGGATGTGATTCTGTAACTTTTATCTTTTTTTCCTAAATAACTATATATTATTTGACTTTAATAGTTTTCTTTCTTTTGAGACAAAGTCTTGCTCTGTTGCCCAGGCTGGAGTGCAGTGGCATGATCTCAGCTCATTTTAATCTCCAGCTCCCAGTTTCAAGCAATTCTCCTGCCTCAGCCTCCTGAGTAGCTGGAATTACAGGCACACACCATCACACCCAGCTAATTTTTTTATTTTTAGTAGAGATGAAGTTTCACCATGTTGGCCAGGCTGATGTTGAACTCCTGACCTCAAATGATTCACCTGCCTTGGCCTCCCAAAGTGCTGGGATTACAGGTGTGAGCCACCGTGCCTGGCCTTTAATAGTTTTCTATTGAAAATTTTAATATAAACTAGTTTCTGTGAATCTCTAGAAGATACAGAGCTACTTGGCTTTTTTTTTTTTTTTTTTTTTTTTTTTTTTTTTTAAGCCTCACTGCTCTAAAGTTCTCTCTTCTGTTGTTTTCACAGTGTTTAGGAATGTGGTGGCTCACTTTTTGAGGTCTCTAGGCTCTGTGTTCCTCTTACCCCCTTTTTACCCTTTCCTTTGTCTCTTTCTTTTGTCTCTCTTGCCCCATGTGTTGCTCAAATTGGGTCCTATTCCTAGAAGTTTCTTCTCAGTGTGAGGCTTTGTCACAGAAGGAGTTTTGGTTGGTTAGTTTTTAGAATTTATGGGACTTTCTCAGACAGTTCTAGCCTTTTCAGACCTTTACTGCTGACTCCTTGAACTCACCCAGTATATGAGTGGGCAAAACCCTTCCCGTTTCAGCTCTTGTTCTCAAATTGACTCTCAGCTTTCCACTGAGTCCTCTTGGGTATTTGGGGATTCTCAGGTCTGTCACATGCACCGACTCCGCCTTTGCTTCCTTTTGTACAGATGGTAATTCTACTCAGAGCTGGGATCTGTTGGTGGTTTCACCCCACCCACTTGTATTTTGGAAACCATGGGGATACTTTGTTAGGTAGTTTTGTGACAAATATGGCAAATGGATTTTTGGTTTTGCTCTTCTCTAATACTTGTATTAACCTTTTTTTTTTTCTTTTGAGACAGAGTCTCATTTTGTTGCCCAGGCTGGAGTGCAGTAGCACAATCTCAGCTCACTGCAACCTTGACCTTGCAGGTTCAAGCAATTCTCCTGCCTCAGCCTACTGAGTGGCTGGGATTACAGGCATGCACCACCATGCCCGGCTAATTTTTGTGTTTTTAGTAGAAACAGAGTCTCACCTTCTTGGCCAGGCTGGTCTCAAACTCCTGATCTCAAGTGATTCCATCTGCCTTGGCCCCCCAAAGTGCTGGGATTACAGGCCTGAGCCACCACGCCCGGCTGTACTACCTATTTTTATGTTAGTATTTGGGGACATTAAAAAGTTATGTGATAGGCATCATCTCAGAATATTCCTCAGTCTGTATTCAATACATTATCTAGAGTGGTACTATTAAAATATACATCATCAAATCATGTAACTCCTCTGGGGAAAATGCTTTAATGGCTCTGCATACCACTAGAGCAAAAGCTTAAGTCTTTACATTGGTTTACAAGGTGGTGTGTAATCTGACTTTCTCCACCTCCCTTCCCTATTACTTCTCTGAACTCATTTCATCCTAAGTCTCCCCTTTGCTTATTTACTTATTTATTGAGACAGGGTCTAAATCTGTCACCCAGGCTGGAGTGCAGTGGCGCGCCTCCCTTGGTTATTCTGCATAGCCACACTAGCCTCCTTGCTATTTCTGCAGTATGCCAGGAATGGTTCTGTCTCAGGGTGCTTACACTTGCCATTCCATTGGTCTTTAAGTGTCACCTTCTCATTGAAACCTTCCCTGGTTGCCTTATTCACAACTGCTATCCCTCCCAACACCATCTATCCATGCCTCCTCATTTCCTGCCTTATTTTTTGCTGAGTGTATCACATCATATATTTTATTGATTAACTTACTTATTAATTTCTCAAACGTCAACTAGAATGTAAATTCCACAGAGGAAGGTATTTTGGGCCAAAAATTAAATTTTTGTTGAAGAAGTGAATGCATGAGTGAATATATTTCAAAAATCTTTTTGGTTTCATTGTGGAGAAGAGCAACGTGTAGAGAGACATAAATAGAAGGGGGAGACCAATTAGGAGGGTAACACAATAATCCAGGTAAGAGACTGTAGTGGAATTGGAGATAAGTCATTGAATTTGTCATCTATTTTAAAGGTAGAATAGGCAGATTTGCTAATTATGAACCTGGGTTGGCAGATGCTGCTTCATTGTTTGATTGATTAATTATCGTAACATGTGGGCATAAAAATGACTTGATGACTGTGAAAACCATAGTTCCTGGTCCCCATAAACTCTTAGTTTTTCATCGAATAATCTACCAGACGTGGTGTGGCTAAGGGAAACCCAAGAATGCCCAAGGGAGAAGATGTTTTAGAGGTGGAAATAAGAAAGTTATTTCAGTAAGAATTTGCTGCATACTAAATCATCGCAAGTCTTAGTGACTTAAAACAACAATGCAATCCCAGCACTTTGGGAGGCCGAGGTGGGTGGATCACGAGGTCAAGCGATTGAGACCATACTTGCCAACATGATGAAACCCCATCTCTACTAAAAATATAAAAAATTAGCCGAGCGTGGTGGCGGGCACCTGTAGTCCCAGCTACTCAGGAGGCTGAGGCAGGAGAATCGCTTGAGCCCAGGAGGCAGAGGTTGCAGTGAGCCAAGACAGCACCACTGTACTCCAGCCTTACAACAGAGACTCCATCTCAAAACACAAACAAAAAAAACAAGAATTGATTGTTTTCCTGATTTTATGAGTTGTCTGGACAGTTCTGCCGGTTTTGCTTGGGCTCACTAATGTGACTGCATTTAGTTGAATGCTCAGCTGGGCCGGAAGATCTGAGATGGCCTCTCTCATGTGACTGGCAGCTGGTTGGGGGACATCACTTCTCCATCTGCCCACCCCTCTTCCAGTGGCCTAGATCAGCTTCCTTAGATGGTTGTCTCTGGGCCACATTCCAAGAGGGCAAAAGTGGAAGCGGCAAGGGCTAGCCTTGGAAGTCACACACTGTAACTTTTGTTAAATTCTACTGGTTGAGGCAAGTCCCAGGCTAGCCCAGATTCAAGGGGTAGGGACATAGACCACAACTCTTGATGGGAGTAGCAGCTAAGTCATTGCCAAGGGATGTGCTTAACAAAGTAGGAGGAATTTGTGCCCATATTTTACAATTTCTTGTAGCAAGAAACCAACATTTATTGGATATTTACTGTGTTGCAGGTACTGTATAGGTACAACACATATATGAGTCCATTTAATCCTTATGGCAATCCTGGCAGGAAGGCCACTGAAGCAAGAGAGGTCCGGGGACAATATGGCCTTCCAAAGGACCCAGAACCAGTGAGGGGAAGGCTGACATTCAACTCCAGATTGGTTTTTGTTTTCATTTTTCTCTTCCTCTTGAATGCTGAGACTGGTCCTGCATCTGTGATGTATGGAAGAGGGATTCAGTTGGCTTTGCTAAGCAGTGTTTTCCTCTCCCCCGCCCTTCTTCCCTTCTTTTCAGATTTAATGAATTTCTGGCCTTCTTTGAAGGTTTTCTGGGTCACATGCTTTCTAGTTGCTATTGTGGAATAGTAAATGAGGCCTAGTTTTGCTTGTGGCAGATCCTGCTCTCTGGACACAGAGTTCCTGGTGGAGCAGTCTAATCTGGGTTGCTGGGTTGGTCGATGGTCCCCCAGACTGACCCTTCTGTCCCTGGGGTTGTCAGGGATTTTCTTGGCTGCAGATTCCTGCCCCAGTGGAGGCAGCTCTGAGCAGGCAAGCAGGAGCTAGCAGGCCTGTGCATTCTCTGAATGGCCAGAAGGGTCCTTTTGAAGGTTTTTCTTTATTTTCCTGAGTGTGGCCACCAGTGGAGTGTCCTGGAGAGCCCCAGGGGTGCAGTTCAGCAGCAGGACAGTCAGTCCCCCATCGGCATGGAGATGGAGTGTTCTGTGTGTGGATTGACCCTCTGGCGTCGTTGTTCCTGTTCAAACATTGCCTGTTTCTCTAAGGGGAAACATGAGCATTGGCGTTTCCTTTCTGGGTTGGAGGTGGAGAATTTCATCCCCACCCTACTCTGCGGATTCATTCCGTTTTAGTTGTCTGGCTTTGCCCGGGGCAGAGGCTGCTGACTGGTGAAAGCACCCTCTGAAAGCAAGTTTTTTGTTTTCTACTGTCCTCTGACCTTGGGACGGGCTATGATAGTCCTCAAAACCCTCACAAGCATGGTTTCCATGAGAGCCTTGCAACATTCCCTTGAGCCGGGCAGGGCAGGCAGCCATGTGGACATTTTAGAGATGAGGAAAGTGGGGCTGTGGCCAGACTCTTTGCGGCCAGACTCTTTCTGGCCAGGTTGTTCCACCTGGCTCTCCGGCTCGAGTCTGTCCAGCTTTCAGTCCTGCTGGTCTGTCTGCATAGGGGCTGCTTCTAGAAGACCAGGCGAGAGGATGTGGGTATGAGGGAGGAGCTGAGGCGCACAGGAAGAGCAGATGGCCTGTCTCTCTCCAGTATCTGCTAGTCACTACCTGGAAACCAGCAATGATGATGTAACCACAAGCATTATTCAGTGATGGCCGCCTTCCTTGTGTGGGTGGGACCGCAACACCGCCTGGGCTGGGGAATCCCATTGGTGACAACACAGCATCCTTTTGAGCTGACGCGGCAACAGATGCCCCAGACCAGCTCTGCGTCTGACAGCATCTCTGTGAAGCGTGTGCAGGGGACAGCAGACATCAGAGCTCTCCTGTAAATCACCTCCGCAAAGGCTCTTTGTGGTCGATTCACTGATGACTCATTTATAATCTGGTTTCAACATTGTGAGTCAAAATGCACCACTTTCATTAAAAATAACATTCACTGGGGTCTAACGGCTTTCTTTTTTCTGTTTTTTACTGTACTGTGTGGTTTCTGGATGGGAAGCTGTCAGATGGCAGGCGAGGTGTTCCGAGGGACTTGAGCATAATCGTGCAACGACTCAGGTGTGGATTGAACAAATAGTCCCGAATACCTGCTGTGGGTCCTGCAGACTTCTGGGCCATGGAAGTGTGTGGGTAGTCGGCGTGGGTGTGTGTGGGGGTGTGTGCAAGTATCAGGATCACCTGGGATGCTTGTTAAAAATACAGATTCCTGGGCTTCACCCCATATCTCTGAGGGTGGGGCCTTGTCAAATTCCTCAGGAGCTTTTTAGGTACAATAGAGTCAAGAGCCTTGACTCTGGGTGAGAGAGAATGGGAACTCCCTTCAAGCAGACCCTCCCTACAAACGGAGCAACCAGAGGAGAGGCAGGTCGACTGCAAGGCTGAGAGGGGTGGATGGGGGAGGTGAGAGAGGAAAAGGCAGGGGCGGGGGAACACCCGAGGTGGAGCGGGCCAACAGAGTCCCCATGGGAGAGTTGACTAAAAGCCCCGGCTTGATGCAAGGAACCCACAGTCTTTCTGGTTTGGGGACCAAATCTTGGGCATCCCCTACTTCCTTGGTTAAAAAAATTAAACATACAGAAACGGTTTAGTGGGCATTCTGCAGGGTAAAAAGCCCCTGCTGCATGGCCATGTTTTTATATTTTATGTTCTTTAGCAATGTTAGAAACTTCACTGGGAAAAGCACTTTAAAAAGATATAGTTGAGGGGAATGGGACGTGGGGAGTTATTGTTGAATGGGTGCAGAGTTTCAATTTTACAAGATGAAAGTGCCTGGAGATGGTTAGCGGCGATGGCTGTATAGCAGTGGGAATGCATGTCACACCACTGAACAACGTGCTTAAAAATGGTTACGATGGAGGCCAGGCACGGTGGCTGACACGTGTAATCCCAGCACTTTGGGTGGCGGAGGCGGGCTGATCACTTGAGGTCAGGAGTTTTGAGACCAGTCTGGCTAACATGGTGAAACCCTGTCTCTACTAAAAATACAAAAATTAGCCAGGCATGGTGGCGGGCACCTGTAATCCCAGCTACTCGGGAGGCTGAGGCAGGAGAATCACTTGAAACCCAGAGACGGAGTTTGCAGTGAGCTGAGATCGCACCACTGAACTCCAGCCTGGGTGACAGAGTGAGACGCTGTCTCAAAAAAAAAAGGTTAAGATGGTAAATTTTCTGTTATGTGTATTTTACTTACTACAATTTTTAAAAAATTGGAAAAAGAAAGATATGGTTGAGTCTGACTTGGATGAAAGTCTACAGGCCTCCTGCTGATGGTCTCAGCGGCTCCTGGGAAACTACCGTTTGTTTCAGCCATCTGTAACTTGATTTGTTGTTCAGAAGTTTGCCAAGACTTCTCCATGCAAAGCCAGGTGTAAGTTTAACCTGAGCCACGTGGGTCCCCCCACCTTTCCGCCTCCGATGGATCTTCTCTCCAAGGGCTCCGGTGCTCAGGCCCTCATAGCATGGGAAATCAGAAGGGATGTTTGGGTGGGAGGCTTGGCATGGAGGGTGGACATTTTGCTACAGATGGCCTTGCCCTCACGGAAGGCCATTGTTATTCCGCGTCTGCCCCCTGGCCGGGTCCAGCCACCTGAGCCTTCCTGAGCTCCCAGCTCTCAGTTGCAGCCAGCGCCCAACGCCTTCCTGCGGCACCTCCACAGACCTCGCCTCTTTGCCCTGACTCCTCTCATTCTCTGTTTTCCAGACTATCCCCAAGCCCTGCCTGTGGCTGCCTCCTCCCTCCATAGCATCCCTGCTCTGCCATGGCTCCCCTATTTGGGACAAGACCTTTGTGTGGGCCTCAAGATGTAGGCAGGTCTCTGCTCAGTGGCCCAGCTTTTGGTCGACACCTGCAAATGTGTCTAAAACTCATCTCAACCTCTTCCCCAACACCAGTCTTCCCTTTGATCCCACCCTCCATCTGCTCTTCTCTCAGCATTCCTGAGAGTTTCTGCAAGTTGCCCCAGCCAGAAACCAGGGTGCCAGGCATCACTCTTCCTGCCCGGTTCCCAGCTCCCACCAGCAGTGCCTCCTTGGCAGCTCTAGAATCCCCACTGCCTCTGGTCTAGTTCATGCCTCCATCACTTCTTCTCTGGACCACTGCAGTAGTCTCCTAAGTGACTGTAGCCATCTGAATAGTGGCCCCAAAGATATCAAGTGCCAATCGCCGGAAAACAGTGAATGTTACGCTACGTGGGAAAGTTTTTGCCAATATGATTAAGTTAAGGAATTCAAAAAAAATTATAAAATTGTGATAAATATATAACATAGACTTGACCAGTTTATTCATCTAAGTGCAGAGTTCAGTGGCATTAAGTATATTCCTATGTTGTGTGACCATCACCACCGTCCATCTCTAGAGCTCTTTTTGTCTTGCAGAACTGAAACTTTGTACCCATTAATAACTTCTATTTCTCTCTCTCCTCAGCCCCTGGCAACGACTCTTCCACTTTCTCTCTCTATGCATTTGAGTACTCTAGATACCTCATATTAGGTGGAATGAGGCCCGGCACAGTGGCTCACTCCTGTAATCTCAGTACTTTGGGAGGCTGCGGCGGGAGGATCATTTGAGCCCACGAGTTCGAGACCAGCCTGGGCAGCTAGTCAGACTTTGTCTCTACCAAAGATTTAAAAATTAGCCAGGTGATATGGTTTGGCTGTGTCCCCACCCAAATTTCACCTCGAATTGTAACTCCCACAATTCCTAAGTGTCATGTGAGGAACCCGGTGGGAAGTAATTGAATCATGGAGGCAGGTCTTTTCCATGCTGTTCTTGGGATAGTGAGTAAGTCTCACGACATCTGATGGTTTTAAACATGGGAGTTTCCCTGAACAGATTCTCTCTTTGCCTGCCACCATCCACGTAAGATGTGACTTGCTCCTCTTTGCCTTCTGCTATGATTGTGAAGCCTCTCCAGCCTTGTGGAACTGTGAGTCCATTAAACCTCTTTCTTTTGTAAATTGCCCAGTCTCAGGTATGTCTTTATTGGCAGTGTGAAAACGGACTAATATACCAGGTGTGGTGGTGCACACCTGTGGTCCCAGCTACTGGGGAGGCTGACGTGGGAGAATCACTTGAGCCCAGGAGTCAGAGGCTGCAATGAGCTAGGATCACACCATTGTGCTCCAGCCTGGGTGACAGAACAAGACCCTGTCTCAAAAATAAAATGAAATACAAAGGTAGACTCATATAGTCTTTGCCCTTTTGTGACTGGCTTATTTCTGTAGTGTATGAGAGAATTTCCTTCCTTTTGAAGGCTGAATCATATGCCATTGTGTGTATATAGCACATTTGTTTATTCATCCTTTGATGGACATTGCATTACTTTCACTTTGTAGCTATTGTGAATAGTGCTGCTGTGAACATGGGTGTACACATATCTCCTTAGATTCTGCTTTCAGTTCTTTGGGGCCTATACCCAGGAGAGGAATTGCTGGACCATATGGTAATTCTATGTTTAATTTTTTTGGGAAACTGTCATACTGTTTTACATAGTGACTGTACCTTCTTACATTCCCACCAACAGTGTACAAGGGTTTAAATGAAGATTTTGAGATGAGAAAATTATCCTGGATTATTCAGGTGGGTCCTAAATACCATCACAAGTGTCCTTACAAGGAAGAGGCAGCAGGAGATGGGACACACAGTAAAGGTGATAATGAAGATGGAGGTGGAGATTGGAGGGATGCGGCCACAAGCCAATGAATGCCTGCAGCTACCAGAAGCCACAGAGAGCTCCGCTAGAGCCTCTGGAGGGAGCTTGGCCCTGTCAACACCTTGATTTGAACCCAGTGAAACAAATTTCCAACTTCTGTCCTCCTGGACTGTGAAGTAATAAATTTCTGTTTTTTTAAGCTACCAAGTTTGTAGTAATTTGTGACAGCAGCCACATGGAACTAATACACAGATGTCCCAACATCCACACCGGCCTCACACTCCTCCAACTCAAGGTGCAGTTCCGTTGTTCATTTAGAATTGCAAATGGCCTTAGGGTGCTCCTTTGTTTGAGTACTTTCAAATGTTTCCCACTGTCCCTGGCATGGTGACCGGCTGCTCCTAAACAGATGCTAAGACCCTCAGTGCCTGGGGACTGCCTGCCTCAGCACAGTCCCCCTGGTGCTCCGTGCTTTAGTGCTACTATTTTCTCTTTGTTCCTTAAAGACACCATGTCCTCTCTTGGATCTCTTCTAGACCCCACAGTGCTGTTCTCTGAGTAGCTGCACCTCTGTATTCTTATTCCCTAATCTCCCCTCTAAGGTTTGGCTTTTTTATTTTATTTTATTTTATTTCATTTTTTCAGGAATAACTCTGAATTTTCCATAGGAGCTCAGATCTCAGCTGGACTGTGAGTGTCCCACTTCTGGGGACACTCTCCATGCCCTTCAGATGACTCTGGACATGGGTTGTTGCAATGCCCCATGTCCCCTTAGCTCCTGGTGCCATCCATCATCATGTGCCTCCTGCTTTGTGGCAGGTGCTTGTCTGCTTGTCTGTCTTTCCTGCTGGACTGGGAGCCTCCTGCAGGCAGCAACTGCTGTGTTCACCTCTCAATCCCCTGTGTCTAGCACAGAGCCTGGCCCATGGTGTGCACGGACGAATAGTTACTGGCTGAATGACTGAGCAGATGTGGGAAGGGAAGGAAGGGAAATCTCACTCCAAGACAAACAAGGAAGATGTCAGAAGCCACACTATATATCCTCCAAGGGAGGCGATTTTTTCTATCAACTAAGAAGCACACAACACCATGCTGGGTGCCAGGAGTTGGCAGCACTGCTGGAGGAGGTTCAAGATACTTTTGGAGCCAAATAAACTACCTGAGCAATGCTCGTCATTTGCCAAAGGATTGCCTTAGAGATGTCACACGGATGTTACAGGTCATCTTGCCCTTGCTTTGCATCTAGGCTTAATACATTATCACCCACCAATGCCCCCACCCCCAAGCAACCCAACATCTGTCTCTCTCTCTCACACACACACACAGACAAACACACACACCACACAGCATATAAAGTATTTTTTAAATTAAAAAATTAAACTGTAGTAAACACACATAACATAAAATTTACCACTGCAACCATTTCTAAGTGTGCAAGCTCAGTAGGGTTAAGTGCATTCACATTGTTCTGCAACCATCACCACCATCCATCCCCACAACTTTTCATCTTGCAAAACTGAAACTATACCCAGGAAACATTAACTCCCCATTCTTTCCCCACCCTCACACCAGCCACCCCCTACCACTCTTCTACTTTCTGCTTCTATGCATTTGACTATTCTCAATGCCGCATGTAAGTGGGATCATACAGCATTTGTTCTTTTGTGACTGGCTTATTTCACTCAGCATAATGTCCTCAAGGTTCATTCACATTATAGCATGTGTGAGAATTTCCTTCCTTTTCAAGGCTGAATAATATTCCATTGCATGGATAGACCACATCTTGTTTATTCATTCCTCTGACAATAGACACTTGAGTTGCTTCTACCTTTTGGCTATTGTGAATAATGCTGCTATGGTAAACATGGGTGCACAAATACCTCTTTGAGACCCTGCTTTCAGTTCTTTTGGGTATAGCCCCAGAAGTGAAATTTTAAGATCATATAGGAATTCTATCTTTAATTTTTTTAAGGAAGCTTCATGCTGTTTTTCATAGCGGCTGCGCCATCTTCCATTTCCACCCACGGTGCATGAAAGTTCCAATTTCTCCACATCCTTTACTCCCAAAGCGTTGATGGGTTTTGTAGCTTTTCCTGAATATTTCTTGGTGGAGGTGGGAGGAAGGTGGTCACATTCCATATCATACCACAAATGTTTTTAAATATGTTCTTTAAGCAACTCTCTTTTTCTCTCTGGGATTCTATTTCAGGTCACAGATAGTTCCTCTTTCCCCATTCTCCTTACCAATAAGATCTCCTTGCTAGACTTATCACAACAATGAACATTATTAATTTCATTATTATTGTTTCAAAAGTATTTTTGAGGCCGGGTGTGGTGGCTCATGCCTGTAATCCCAGCACTTTAGGAAGCTGAGGCAGGTGGATCGCCTGAGATCAGGAGTTTGAGACCAGCCTGGCCAATGTGGTAAAACCCCATCTCTGCTAAAAATACAAAAATTAGCCAAGCTTAGTGGCGGGTGCCTGTAATCCCAGCTACTTGGGAGGCTGAGGCGGGAGAATCGCTTGAACCCGGGAGGCGAAGGATGCAGTGAGCTGAGATCGTACCACTGCACTCCAGCCTGGGCAACAGAGGGAGACTCTGTCTCAAAAAAAAAAAAAAAGTATTTTTGATTAAGTATTTGCTCATGTAGTTCAACATTTAAAATGTCCTCAAATCTCCCTTCTAGACAGTCCTATATCCACCGAGTTCCATTCCCCGGAGGCCACTCATGTATTGCTTCCTTATTACATATCTGGAGATATTTTATAGACATAAGATAGGAGAGCAAATTGATGAGTGGTAACATGAAGCATGAAATATAAAAGTAATAATAGGTAAGCACCAAAAACAGAACTGAAAGTATGCAGACAAAGAAAATCAGATAGGTCTGTTTAATATCAGCTGAGAGCATGAGATAAAATGGAAAGTAGCCACCTGGTTCTTTGCATGATTTGCATCACAGATACATAATATAGGTTGCACACACCTGGAAGAAAAGCAGATTGCATTATAGCAATTACCAAAGCAGGACCATGGGACAATCTGGGGTGGGTAAGGGGGCAGTGGCCTAGAACCACATGAGCAGAATTTTTGAGCATCCTGAGTGGAATTTTGGGCAGACTCAACGGAGGGTTTGGTGTTTGGGGGTTTGGTGTTTGGATAAATAGCTAAACCTAAGCCTGCACACTTGAGACATCTGGGATACCACAGACCTGTTTTCTCACTGATTTGATAGGTTACCAATGTAGACATATTTGTTTTAAAAGGGTCACCATGCTTCCCTGCCGTTGATTCCATTGGGAGGATGAGTCCTGGACAGGGCCGGAGTGATCCATTCCTTGGGTTGTGCTTCTCAATACTTGCTTTCATCTTCTTTTCTGGTACATGGCTAGTCCCTCTATCTAGTGGAACCATGGGCTGGTTTTCACCAAGGTAACATGAGAGGAAGTGATTATCTCAGTTGATTTTTTGCTGTTAGAATATCACAGACTGGTAATTTATAAAAAACAGAAGTTAATTTGCTCACAGTTCTGAAGGCTGGGAAGTCCAATGTCAAGGAGTGGCAGATTTCGGGATGGTGCCTTAAACACTGCATCCTCCAGAGGGGAGCAATGCCTTGTCCTCACATGGCCCAAGGCAGAAGGGCAAAGAGAGAAAAGGAGGATAGGCTCATCCTTTATAATGGCATTAATCCTACATGTGGGAATAGAGCCTTCACGGCCTAATCCCTTCTTAAAGATCCTACCTCTTAATACTGTTACAATGGTAGTTAAATTTCCACATGAATTTTGGAGGGGACAAATATTCAAGCCATAGCAGTGATATTGCCATGTGTAGACTACAGCAGTCCCTTGGGAGACTTTATTCCAGTGACACCAACCACTGCTCCAAAAGAATCCAAGTTCTTCACCTCTATACTCTACTGTCTTCTCTTGGTTGCCTCCACAAATCATATCCACCATGAAAGAATAAGTAGTTATTATTTATTTAATCATCAAGAATAGTCAATAAACTGTCCCCATGGGCAATCTCAAAACTGCCAGGACGATAGCACCATTAGTGGAATAAGACTATAGCTTTCAAAGCTCTTCATCCCTGTGTCTTGAGCCCTCTTAGATCTATTTAGAGATACCTCCCTGCTATGATTTGAATGCTTTTCCCCTTTCATGTTGAAATTTAATCCTTGAAGTGGCAGTATGGAGAGGGGGCCTTTAAGAGGTGATTGGGCCATGATATCTCTGTCCTCATGAATGGATTCATCCATTTGTGGATTAACAGATTAATGGGTGATCATGGGAGTGGAACTGGTGGCTTTATAAGAAGAGGAAGAGAGACCTGAGTACACTAACACACTCAGCCCCCTGTCCATGTGATGCCCTGCACTGCCCTGGGACTCTGCAGAGTCCCCAACAGCAAGAAGGCTCTCACTAGATGTAGACCCTTGACCTTGGACTTCTCAGTCTCCATAACTGTAAGAAATACATTTCTTTTCTTTTTTTCTTTTTTTTTTTTTTGAGACAGGTTTTGCTCTGTCACCCAGGCTGGGCTGCAGTGGTGTGGTCATGTCTCACTGCAGCCTCAATGTCTTGGGCTAAAGGTGTTCTCCCCACCTTAGCTTCCTGAGTAGCTGGGACGACAGGTGTGCACCACCACGCCCAGCTAATTTTTTTAATTTTTTACTTTTTTCATAGAGATGGGGTCTCCCTATGTTGCCAAGGCTGGTCTTGGATTCCTGGCCTCAAGTGTTCCTCAGGCCTTGGCCTCCTAAAGTGTTGGGATTATAGGCATGAACCACTGTGATTGGCTCAAATTCCTTTTCTTTATAAATTACCCAGTTTTAGATATTCTGTCATAAGCAACAGAAAATGGACTCAGATGCTCCTTCTAAGGACCCCTCAGCGATTTGTATTTTATGCTAGTAGATGGAACAAATGCAAATTCCTGGTAGGTCTTGAGAAGTACAGGTGGTGTATTCTAATTCAGGATTGATGACTCAGGACTCTGGATTTACATTTTCTCACATACCATTAGCCAAGCATGGTGGCGGGCGGGGCGCCTGTAATCCCAGCTACTGGGGAGGCTGAGGCAGGAGAATCGCTTGAACCCAGGAGGTGGAGGTTGCAGTGAGCCAAGATCGTGCCACTGTACTCCAGTCCACTGAATCCCGACTCCAGCTCTAGGGTGGTGGAGTCTGTGTGCTGCCATGTGCTGTGGTTGCTGTGGGGATCTCACTCTCCCCATCCCACTCCCACTGTCTGCCCCGGCTTTCTCTGTGCCTCATTGTCCCATCAGTCAGGGAGACTCACCACAGCCGCTATCATTGTAACATCAGTGTTGAACAATAATCGAAACCCAAATAGAGATCTCCCCTCTCCTTAAAAAACATTCTAATAATATTCCAAGGTCAGGGCCAACAGTACAAAAACATTGTTCTCATTAATGTGCACACATATATTGAATGTACATGCTTTATTTTGACTCAAATTTTCCAACATGGGTCTAACTGTGAATAGCTGAAGATACTTTTTTTTCAGTTTTGCTTTTTTTTTTTTTGAGATGGAGTTTTGCTCTTGTTGCCCAGGCTGGAGTGCAATGGCATGATCTCAGCTCACGGCAACCTCTACCTCCTGGGTTCAAGTGATTCTCCTGCCTCAGCCTCCCGAGTAGCTGGGATTACAAGCATGCGCCGCCACGTCCGGCTAACTTCATATTTTTAGTAGAGATGGGGTTTCACCATGTTGGTCAGGCTGGTCTCGAACTCCTGACCTCAGGTGATCCGCCCATCTAGGCCTCCCAAAGTGCTGGGATTACAAGCATGAGCCACCATGCCCGGCCTAGTTTTGCATTTTTTATGGATACAGAATACTTATACATATTTATGGGGTAAATGTGATATTTGGATACAAGCATACAATGTGTAGTGATCAAATTGTCGTATGTAGGGTACCCATCACCTTGAACATTTATCATTTATTTGTGTTGGGAACATTTCAAATCTTCTAGCTATTTTGAAATATACAATATATTATTGTTAACTATAGTCACCCCACTGTGCTATCAAACACTGAAACTTATTCCTTCTATCTAACTGTATGTTTGTATCCACTAACCAGGCTCTCTTCATCCCTTCTCCTACCTTTCCTAGCCTCCGGTCTCTATCATTCTACTCTCTCCCTCCACGAGACCAACTTTTTTTTAGCTCCCACATAGAAGTGAGGTCACACAATATTTGTCTTTCTGTGCTTGGCTTATTTCATAAAATGGACTGCAGTTCCACCCATGTTGCTGCAAATGAAGGATTTCATTCTTTTTTATGACTGAATAGTATCCCATTGTGTATGAATATATATATATACACCATATTAAAAAATTCAGTCTAGATGAATATGCTTTGTATGAATTCAGGCTTCTGGCAAAAGCGTTTCATGGGTAGAAACATTGAAGATTGTCCCTTTGGCATGTGAAGGAGAGAATAACTAATTTTACTCGGGGCAGGGCACTGGTGTGTGTTTGTGTATGTGTGTGTGTGTGTGTGTGTGTGTGAGACACTGGAGTATGAGAGAACATTTCTGAAGCCCAGCTCATGCAAGAGAACACCTTCCTCAGTATCTTTGGAGGTCTTTGAGTGGGTTTGGCCTCACCATATCCTTTCACGAATCTTGGGACCCTTGCCAAATTTTGCAAATCTGTTTCAAGCCTTGGTGATCTCTTTTTGCACTTTCTGCAGAAATTGGGGACCAAGGCTGACCTTGCTCTCTATTTCCTTTTTTTTTTTTTTAATTTGAGGAGTGCAATGGTGTGATCTCAGCTCACTGCAACCTCCGCCTCCTGAGTTCAAGCGATTCTTCTGCCTCAGCCTCCTGAATAGCTGAGATTACAGGTGCCGGTCACCACGCCCGGCTCATTTTCATATTTTTAGTAGAGACAGGGTTTCACCATGTTGGCCAGGCTGGTCTCGAATTCCAGACCTCAAGTGATCCACCTGCCTCAGCCCCCCAAAGTGCTGGGATTACAGGCATGAGCCACCGCGTCCGGCCTCTATTTTCTTTTAATTAAATTCCAGTTGAAAGTTGTCAATGAAGTTATAAAACTGATACATACAGGATCCCAGAAAGAAAAGAAAATACAAGCAAGCAAAGTAAGGATTCTTCTTCTTTTTTGTTTTTTTCTTTAAATGACATTTGGCAAGACTGGCTACTTTGTCATGAAATCATCGGAATTCTCTTTTAATCTTCCCATGAAAACCTGTGTACTTCGGGATTCAGAGTCACATGAATCTTTGCCTGGCAGGAATGTAAATGTTTTGAGAAGGCTGTTGTCTTTTCGAGTTTGAGCCACAGCAGAAGCCGAAGGGCCTGTAGATGAAGGCTAGGTGGGGCCTGCTAATGTTCTGGGCAATTTCTAACTCTGACAAGACACAGATACCTCCCTTCCTTCCCCCGCCCCAAACATCTCCTGTCACCTTCAGTAGACCGCAGGCTCGTGGGGGCGGTGGAGAGAATGCTCCCTTCTCCCTGTTCTGGCCACTCTGACGTGGCTGAGGGGCTGGAGGAGGTCCCCAGTCGAAGCCCAACCTATGGTTTACACCATGACGATTCCTTTGCCCCTTTTTGCGTGGGGGTGAGATTATGGGAAAGGGACTCCAGGGTCCTCTCTGAATTTTATTTATTTATTTATTTTTTTATGTTTTGAGACAGAGTTTTGCTCTTGTCACCCAGGCTGGAGTGCCGCGGCATGGTCTCGGCTCACTGCAACCTCCGTCCACCTCCCGGATTCAAGCAATTCCCCTGCCCCAGCCTCCCAAGTAGCTGGGATTACAGGTACATGCCACCACGCCTGGCTAGTTTTTGTATTTTTAGCAGATACAGGGTTTCACCATGTTGGCCAGGCTGGTCTCGAACTCCTGACCTCAGGTGATCTGCCTGCCTTGGCCTCCCAAAGTGCTGAGATTACAGGCATGAGCCACCACACTCGGCCTCCTCTGTGAATTTTAAACTGTGCACGTCTGACCTGAATGCACAGCTCTCAGTGTCCCCAGAACAGGGCCCCGCACCCATCTGATCCCTGAGACTGAGGAGGAGGAAAGGGATGGAGAGAACAGAGCTTCATCTGAGGGTGGTCAGACAGCCGGGTGCTAAGGAGCCTGTGTCAGCCAAAATGGAGGAAGAAACAGGCCTTCCTGCCTTTCCCGCTCTCTCTGTCCAGCCTAGCAGGTCCACTTGAATGCCCACTGACGGCTGCAGGTTGAGGTTCTGCCTTTGGCCAGTGTCGTTTCCAGCCAGGTAGACACCCATGGGGAGAGGTGGGGCTGCTAAGTGGGGCACCAGGCTCGGAGTCAGGAGGCCAGGCTCGGGCCCCAGGGCTGCTACATTATTAGTGCTGCTATTTGGCATGTGGCAAAGTGTTTCTCATCTCCAGAGACAGGGTTTCACCATGTTGGCCATGCTGGTCTCGAATCCCTGACGTCAAGTGATCCGCCCATCTCAGCCTGTCCACGTAACTGGCACTGTCCACATCATCGAGGTCTGGTGGGGCTCCAGTGAGAATGGTGCTTGTGAACTGAAGCTCATGGTGCTGGTGTCAGGGTTGGCTCTGCAGCGGGTTTCATCTGGTGGCTGTAGATTAAGGTTGAGTAGTACCAGGCTTGTCTGGAAATGGGAAAATCCAGATTTTCATAGATTTTTAGTACATTAGAGCTGGATGGAAACTTAGCAAATATTTACTCCAATTCCACCATTGGACAGATAAGGAAACTGAGTCTTAGAGAAGGGGAAGTCACTTGAAGGGTTGTGCTGGGTCATTTGAACAGCCCTGGGAGAGGCCCTGGAGAAACTCTACTCCGTAAGCGAGGCCACATACCAAGGTGACCTTTCCCTGCCAATGGAGAGTGTTGTTCACTCAAAAATAGAACTAAGCTGGGCGTGGTGGCTCACGCCTGTAACCCCAGCACTTTGGGAGGCTGAGGCGGGTGGATCACTTGAGGTCAGGAGTTCAAGACCAGCCTGGACAACATGGTGAAACCCGATCTCTACCAAAAATACAAAAATTAGCCTGGCGGTGCCTGTAGTCCCAACTACTTGGGAGGCTAAGGCAGGAGAATTGCTTGAACCCGGGAGGCAGAGGTTGCAGTGAGCCGAGATCACGCCACTGCACTCCAGCCTGGGCAAAAGAGCAAGACTTCATCTCAAAAACAAAAACAAAAACAAAAACAAAAACAAAACAAAAATAGAACTGATGATATGAAAGGCAGATGGCAGAGCTGAAAGATCCAACCCCTAGAGGAAGAACAGAGGCCCAAAGGAGAAGACCGGGGGTGGGATCCAGGCGGTGCTACTGTTACTATTTCTCATGGCAAGTCTCTTGACCTTATGACTACAGGTGAGCCTCCGCGACTCTTCCAACTCCCAGAGCAGCCTGAGGATCAAAGGTGCCTGTTAGTAGCCACTCCTTTAGGGCGGGCGGGGGCCAGGAAGAAGCCGTGACTCACAGGTACTGCCTGCTGGAGGGCTCTTTCTCTGCAGCAAATTGCTCTGGTGGAGAATTATAGGTGTGGAAGAGACTAACCTTAAAGGCTACAACTTTATAGGGTGTGAATAAAGGCTGACGCATGGTGCTTCCTAACAAAATAAGGGGAAGCTCCAGCTCCTGACCTCATCCAGAGAGGTCTTGACTTGTTCAGCGGGGCTTGGGTTGCTGGCGTTGCCTGGGATGCAGGCGGCACAATACCAGAGACCTAGGAGCAAATGAGAAACCCAGGCGCCAGGCCAGGAGAACAGGGCCTCGTCTTTCGGAAGATCTGGATACGTGCAGGCTCTGCACTTTCTTTGCTTTGAGACAACTGACTCCTGCAATTCCAATCACACAGGGACAACTGGGGAGGGACAGCTGTGTCCTTGCTATTTCAGGCATGTTGAGAACGTCCAGAAGGAAAATAATCTCTCATTCTCTCATGTTCCCCCACCCCAAAACATACACAAACCTATCGGGGCTGTGAGCCTCTCTGGCAAGATCTCTGGAGGTATCTGTACTCTGCCTTGTTTTATTGGCATTGATGACACGTCTTCCTGGCAAACCTGTATCATTCATTACAGCAGAACATAGGTTCTAGTGTCGTTACTGGAAGAAAATGATTCCTCCCTTCATTGCTCTAGTCTGCTGGACACAGTGTGGGGACTGATTGAAGAGACAGAAACCCCCGAGAAACAGGCCCCAGTTTCAGGCCAGAGCTGCAGGGTTGGGTCTCTCGGCTCATTGTGCAGGAGGAAGAGGAAGAGGGGGGAGAAGGCAGCCATCTGGTTTCCTTGGAAATCACACGGGAAGGTTAGAAGATGGGAGTCCAGGAGATGGAGTGTGGAAGTTTCTGCACCCAGTTCCGAAGCCCAGACTGTGAAGGGAATAGTTATGTTTCTTCTGGAAGCAGCCAGCACACAGTCCCAGAAGGAATCAGAACTGCTGTACAGATTTTTCCTGAAGGGGAGGACTGCCTGCCGCTAACGTCAGCAAGGAGAGACTACCTTGTTCCTCTGAAACCGAGTCAGCTTGCGGAGCTGAGTCAGAGGGAATGTTGTTGCTCACCCTGGAGCAGGGCCAGGATGTGAGGGCTGGACTTTGCTAAAAATAAGCCATTCATGTTTGGACATCATGCTCTGTCTCCTCGGATCCCTGGCATCTGGCGCTGTGCCATGTCCCGTGGCGCCCTGTGGTGTCCTGTGGGTTGAAGCCAGGGGCTGACTCAGGACCAGGATGTTCTCTGGACTCTTTTTCTGCTGGGTTGGGTGCAGCGGAGGCAATGCTTGGTGATGAGTTTTCGCCATCGCAGCTCTGGACCATGCCAAGGGCAGAGGCTGTAGTGGGAGACAGAGCTGGAAGAAGTTGCTGCTCAGGCGGGGGCCCACCCAAGGATGTCACTGGGGTCTGTTCCTCTGAGGGGCTGTCTTTCCTGGCCCTTTGTTGCCCCAACACCCCAGAAGCCAAGATATTTCCCTGACACAGCCCTTCCTAAAGCTGACACCTTTCACCAGCTATTAGGGAGTGGAGGAAGTGAGCAACTGTTTCTCCCAATAAAAAGAACTTTAAGGTGTACTCATTATTTAAAAATCAAACACAAAAAGAAAATATAAGGAAGAAAAAACACCGTCTATTATCTTCCTTCTCCCATAACTTTCTAGAGGAAAGATACATAGTTTTCAATGCACATTTTTGTATGCACGTTCAGGTGAATACATTTTGCTTTGATAAAAATGGGATTGTGTTAACATTTTCCAACTAATTTTCTTACTTTTTAAGAGATCATGGGCTTTTCGTAGCCATAATTACAGACTTACAGGATCGTTTAATAGCTTCATTTAGAGGAAGCATAATTTAACCTAGGCGTCGACAAACTTTTCCTGTAAATGGCCAGATAGTAAATATTTTTGGTTTTGTGGGTCAGATGGTCATTGCTGCAAACACTCAACTCTGTTATTGTAGCTCCAAATTGGTCAAAGACGTAAATGACCAGGTGTGGCTATGTTCCAATAAAACTTTATTCACAAAATAGGTCCTAGACTGGGTTTTGGCCCACTGGCCCACTTGCAGACCTGTGATTTAAACTGTCACCTACTGATGGGCATTTAAGAAGTTTCCAATGTTTTGCTATTAAAAACTGAGCCGAGATGGCGCCATTGCACTCCAGCCTGGGCGATAAAGCAAGACTCCGTCTCAAAACAACACAAAACAAAAAAACAGCACATAAATATGCCTTTGCGTGTATATGTATATGAGCAGGTGTATATTTGTATATATGCATATGTATACATACACACATAGTATATACATATATATGATTTATATATAAACAGGATTAATACACAGATATATGGTGTATATCTATGTGTGTGCGTATATATATACATATATACATATATATATACCTATATATACCCATATACCTATATACACATATATATACCTATATATACCCATATACCTATATATACACATATATACCTATATATACACATATACCTATATATACACATATACCTATATATACACATATACCTATATATACACATATACCTATATATACACGTATACCTATATATACATATACCTATATATACATATATCTCTATATATACATATATACCTATATATACATATATCTCTATATATACATATATACCTATATATACATATATCTCTATATATACATATATACCTATATATACATATATCTCTATATATACATATATACCTATATATACATATATCTCTATATATACATATATACCTATATATACATATATACCTATATATACATATATATACATATATATCTATATATACATATATACCTATATATACATATATACATATATATCTATATATACATATATACATATATATCTATATATACATATATACATATATATCTATATATACATATATACATATATATCTATATATACATATATACACATATATATCTATATATACATATATACCTATATATTCACATATATACCTATATATACACACATATATATGCACATATATACACATATATATGCATATATATATACACACACACACACATACACACACACACACACACACACACACACACCTATACATATATACCTTTCTCTGATGGCATCCCTAAGATAAACTGTAAGATATATTTTTCCTGGGATATCAGAGAGACGATTGTAAACCAACTGCAGATTCTGTTTACCTTGATGAGTTCATGAGCTTCCTTCCACCTCTGATTTTTCTAATGAATGCATTTTGCCCAGGCCTTGATAGAAAAACTACTTTGAAAACAGTCTGCTTCAGGTCTCCCCCATAGGGATGATGCTACATTAGAGGATCCTTCCTCCAAGCACAGCCTGCCCAGGGAGCTTGTTTTTGATGGATGTCAGTGGGCTGGATGGCTTCCTGGGAAGTTCGGAGGAAGTGGACTCCCTCCAGGACAGAGAGCTCTTGAGGTTCTGGGCATGGGGTGGAGCCCATCCAGGTGCCCTGGTAGCCCTGAAGCCCGCCTGGCCTCTGAGAGACATGTGTGGTGCACGCATTTCTAACAGAACACCGGTTAGAGGGTGGGGACCAGGTGGAAAATATATTGAGGACAGCCTCTGCCCTCCAAGAATTCTCTCTTTGCTATGAGAAGCAGAGCCACCCCCACCAAGCATTCCCCTGCTGCCGTGAGAGGCAGCATCAAGTGGGTCTGTGGGAAGGGGTCCTGGTGGGATCTGGCTGACAGGAGGTTTCTGCTTCCTTCACTTTCTTCTTGGGAGGAAGTCAACATTCTCCGGCATCCACTCGTTCTGAGGAGTTAGCAGGGGCTGGTTACAGACGGTTGTGCCGGTGGGAGAAGGTTCAGGGTTGAGTTCTGGAGGGAAGGCAGGGCATGAATTGGCAAGAAATAAAATAAAGAGAGGAAGTTAAAAGGAGCACTGAGGTGAGAGAGAGGGAGAGGGGTTCAGCATGACACACTCACCGTCACTGCCAAGGGTTGTTGGTGAAACGCTGAGCTTCTTGGGGCCTGGGTGTCCTCATCTGTAATGAGAGGGCCTAGGAGAAAGCTCACCTTCTAGCTGGTTCTCTAAGTAGCATGAGTTAAACTGGAAGAAAATGTGTGCGTGTGTGCATGTATGTGTTCATGTGTGCCTACAGGTGTGTGATGCATGTGAGTGAATGTAGCAAAAACATAGTCTTTTAGATTTAGGATCAACTAGTATGAGGCATCCTTGCCAGTCCTTGTGCGTCTCTGCTGAACACGTATTTACATCGGGACAGTGCTGGGTGGCTCAGGGCTGGAGCCAGATAAGCCAGGTGTGGGGCCAAGGGGGTTTGCGGAGAAAGTTTAGTTCACCGTGAGAACCTGGGGCCCAGCTTTGAAGGCCTCCAGGGCCCACTCTGAATAGAACTCGTGATCCCAGGAAGAGAAGTGCTTGGTTTGAGTCTGAGAAGCCAGTGGAGGTTCAGATCAGCTTGCGTGACCGTCACTCTGCAGGAACAGGGAAAGTAAAGTGTCAGACCCAGGACCTGGTGATTTGCAATGAAACCACCACAGTATGGCTGGGGACAGACCCTGGCAGGAGGCAGGATTCCATCCTCCTCCACAGGCTACCTCCACGCTGCATCCTCTTCCCCAAGGTTTGCTGGGAGTGAATGGACCATGGTCCCCATCACTGGGGGGCCTTGTCAATCATTCTGGCTTTTAGTTCTAGAAAGGAAAAACCAACACCAGGCACAGCTGACTTCTCCCTTCATCTTCATGAAGGTCCCTTTTCCTTGAGTTCCATGACACCTTGTTGCTTTTTATTCTGTTCCCCTCAGGCCACAACTTATGAGAATCCTTTGTTGGAGAACTTGTTCCTTTAATTGTGGGTGTTCTTTTTTTTTTTTTTTTTTTTTTGAGATGGAGTCTCGTTCTGTTGCCCAGGCTGGACTACAGTGGTGTGATCTCGGCTCACTGCAAGCTCTGCCTCCCGGGTTCAAGCGATTCTCCTGCCTCAGCCTCCCAAGTAGCTGGGATTACAGGCACTCGCCACCACACCCAGCTAATTTTTGTATTTTTAGTAGAGACGGGGTTTCACCATGTTGGCTAGGCTGGTCTCGATCTCCCGACCTTATGATCTGCCCGCCTCTGCCTCCCAAAGTGCTGGGATTACAGGTGTGAGCCGCCGCGCCCAGCCATTGTGGGTGTTCTTAGCACTCTATCCCTGGCACATTTCTCATTTAATCTTGCATTCACCCCTCAAATCATCCCTGTGGCTTCCAATACCATTTCTATGCCCATATGACTTTCAAATCACCATCTTCTGCCCACCCAGCCTTCTCAGCTCTGGACCTGAGGTCTCACAGGTGCACCCACCTCCACATGCCCCAAACGGAACCCAAGGCCATCTCCCTTCCTGAACCTGCTCCTGCCCTGCAGCACCCCAGCTTCATAAACAGCAGCACCCTTCACCCTGGTTCTCAGGCTGGTACCTTGGGCTTCTTCCTCCATATCCTACTTCCTCCCATGCCTCACCTCCAGTAAATTCCATGTCTGTTCAATTCCAATAAAGATAATAGCTGGCTGGGCATGGTGGCTCATGCCTGTAATCCCAGCACTTTGGGAGGCCAAAGCAGGCGGCTCACAAGGTCAGGAGATCGAGACCATCCTGGCTAATACGGTGAAACCCTGTCTCTACTAAAAATACAAAAAACTAGCCGGGCGTGGTAGCACATGCCTGTAGTCCCAACTACTTGGGAGGTTGGGGCAGGAGAATTATTTGAACCCGGGAGGCAGAAGTTGCAGTGAGCTGAGATCGTGCCACTGCACTCCAGCCTGGGCAACAGAGTGAGACTCTGTCTTAAAAAAAAAAAGAAAAAAAAATTAGCTGGGTGTGGTGGTGTGTGCCTGTAATCCCAGCTACTTGGGAGGTTGAGGCACAAGAATTGTTTGAACCCAGGAGGCGGAGGTTGCAGTAAGCCGAGATCACGCCACTGCACTCCAGGCTGGTGACAGAGTAAGACCCATCTCAGAAAAAAAAAAAAAAAAAGACAATAGCTGATGTTGGCTGAACACTGGCCATGTGCTCAGAGCTTTATAAGCAGAGTCTCCTCTAATCCCTGCCCCCCAACTCTCTATACAGTTGACCCATGAACAATATGGGCTTGAACTATGTGAATCTACTTATACGCAGATTTTTTCCAACTAAATGCGGATGGAAAATATAGTCTTCACAGAATGTGAAACCTGCATATAGAGCAGGGGGACATTTCATACCTGCAGATTCTGCAGGGCTGACTGCAAATTTGAGTATGTGCAGATATGAGTATACATGGGGTTGCTGAAACCAATCCCCCTCGTATACTAAGAGCCAACTGTAGCAGGAATTCATATCACATTATTTAGCATATGAAGAATCTGAGGTGTGCAGGGGCTTACTGACTTGCCTGAAGTCCCAGAGAGATTTAACTCAAGACCATGGGATCCTCAGACTCTCCAGGTTACCAGATACCCCTGAACCTCCATAGGGGCTGGTGCACTGCTTCTCGCCTGGGTATTGGCCCTGCCTCGTCTCTTCTGCATGCAGTAACCAGAGGGAACTCTCAAAATGAAACACTGATGTTGTCACTCCTCTCCCTGAACCCTTACAGTCTCCCCATTGCTCCTGAAACAAAGTCCTTATTTTTCTTTGAGATGGAGTTTCACTCTTGTTGCCCAGGCTGGATGGCAATGGCATGATCTTGGCTCACTGCAACCTCTGCCTCCCAGGTTCAAGTGACTCTCCTGCCTCAGCCATAGCTGGGATTACAGGCATGTGCTACCACACCCGGCTAATTTTTGTATTTTTAGTAGGGTTTTGCCATATTGGTCAGGCTGGTCTCAAACTCCTGACCTCAGGTTATCCGCCCACCTTGGTGTCCCAAAGTCCTGGGATTACAGGCACGAGCCACCATGCCAGGCCCAAAGTCCTTATTTTTCAACAAACATTAGTTACAGGCATTGAAGACCCTGCGTGAATGAGACATGTTCCTGCCCTCATGGAACTTACATTCTAGACTGATGACAGGTAATAACTGAATAAATAGACAACTTAATTGCATAGAGTGGTAGGTGATACTGAAGAAAATAAGGCAAGGTAAGGGATGGAGAGTGATCTGGGAGGGGTGAGTATTAGGAGAGATGGTCTAAGAGGGCCTCCCGGGGGAGATGAGAGTGAAGCTGAGATGGAGTGAAGTTAGCCCCTGCAGTAAAGGGAAGGAGCATTATAGCTGAAAGCGAAAAGCCTGTGCAAAGGCCCTATGGTAGGAATGAGCTTGGAGTAATTGAGAAATAATAAGAAGGCCTGGGTGGTGAGAGCTGTGTGAGAAACATGGAGAGTGACAGGCAGAGGGGCTGACTGGTAGCCAGGTAGCCCTGGCTGGCCACACTAAGGAATTTGACTCTTATTTGGGATGTGATGGGAGGGTTTAAGTGCACACCAGGAGGTATAATAACCTTCTGGCTGCTGTGTTGGGACTGAGTACGTGGGTGGTAGTAGAGAGAGCAGTGAGAAGTTTCCTTTCATGCTCCAGGGGAGAGACGATGGTGAGGAGGTGGCAAGAAGGCACAGTCCTGGTTGCAGGTGTTGAAGCTTAAGCCATCCTCTCTGAGTGAGGGGTGGCGGATGGAGAAGGGAAGAGTGGAGTCAGGATGTCTGGTGGCCTTTGCTCTGAGTTTACTAAATTAAGGGATGAGGGTATATGAGTCTGAAGCTCTGGGGTGAGGTTGAGGCTGGAGATACAAATTTGAGGGGTGCCTGAAGACCACAGAGTGAGCTCAGTGGGTCCCGTGGTTGATCCCCTGAGTCTAGAAGACTCTTTGGAGGGCTTTTTGTTACAAAGGAGAACAGAGCAATGGAGAGTGTTATGGGAAAAATTGTGTCCATCTCAAAGGATGCTGAAGACCTGACCCCCAGTACCTGTGAATGTGAGCCTATTTGGAAATAGGGTCTCTGATGATGATGAAGCTGAGGTCATTAGGGAGGGCCCTCATCCAATATGACTGGAGGAAATTTGGACACAGACACAGACACACACAGAGGGAAGGTGATGTGAAGACACACAGGTTAATGACAGCCATCTCCAAGCCAAGGAACGCCCGAGGCTACCAGAAGCCAGGAGAGGGGCCAGGGCTTAGAGCCTCCTTCACACTCTCAGAAGAAATCGACACTGCCAAGGCCTTCATCTTGGACTCCCAGGCTCCAGAACTGGGAGACAGTCAGTCTCTGTTGTTTAAGCCATCCAGTCCGTGGTACTTTGTAACAGCAGCCCCAGGAAGCTAATAAAAGGAGATAGCTGGCACAGATGCGGAATTCTTAGTTTTTTTTTTTTTTGTTTTTTTTTTTTAAATAGGGAAGACAGAATAGCATGTTTATAGGAAAACGGGAATGATCAGTGTTGAGGAAAAACAGGGCATGTGGGAGAGCAGAGGGAGGGTTCTCTGCAAGTCACCAGGCTCTCCGTGTCCCGGGTGTTTTGCACACGCGCCACGTACTACCTGCCCTAGTGCCCACCTGTCCGGGTCTCAGCTGATGGCTCCACCTCTCCAGGTAGGTCTGGAACTCTCCTTTGTGCTCACCACTTTCTCCATTTCTGCACTGCCACCCTGTCTTGCAACTGGTTGTTGAAGGCCTGCATCCTGCCTCCTCCCCTGCCCCAAGCTCGGTGGGGACCCAGGCATGGATGCTGTGTCTTGCAGAGAGCCCAGCCCACGGTAGGAACTCCATGAACACTATTTACATTTTGTTTGGTTTTTGAGACAGGATCTCACTCTGTTGCTCAGGCTGGAGTGCAGTGACGTGATCATGGCTCACCGTAGCCTCAACCCCCTGGGCTCAAGCGATCCTCTCACCTCAGCCTCCCCAGTAGCTGGGACTACATGCATGAGTCACCATACCCAGCTAATGCTTTTTCATTTTTTGTACAGACAGGATCTCCCTATGTTGCCCAGGCTGACCTCCTGAGCTCAAGTGATCCTTCCACCTGGGCCTCCCAAAACGCTGGTGTTACAGGCCTGAGCCACTGTGCCCTGCCATGAACACTGTTTGAATGAACAAATGTGATGTCCTTCTGGATTGCTTTTGTCCACATGGCACTGATTTTAGAGCTCATTTTGGAAAATCGGTCCTGGAATGCCACTCCAATCTCTCCACCCACACACGTTGGTTTTGACCCAGGTTTATTCAATGCTTTGGGGGGCTATAAATCTGGAGACAGCTCCACCAGGAACTTTTAACTGAGGGCAGCCCCTGTGAACTGCCTAACCTTGAGCAAGTTACTTAACCTCCATGACCTCTGGTTTTTCCATTAGTCAAACAGGGCAAAGAACTGCCCTTTCTCTCCCTTACAATGGAGGATGTGGTAGCTTAGGCTAAGTTCTGAAGCAGAAAAGTGGGCGGGTGCATTTGTGACTCTGCATTGACTCTAAATTAAAGGCACAATCAATGGTTCTCAGAAAAGAGCTGTATATACACGGCTCTGCATGTACAGAGAAGGAGAAGGCTTAGTCACTCAAGATTCTTTATTCGCGACTCGGAAACTTTAAAACATTTAATTAAATGTTTAAAAAGCTGTGGTAAAATATAGACAACATAAAATATACCATCTTAACCATTTCTAAGTATACAGTTCGGTAGTGTTATGCACATTCATGTTGTTGTACAACCATTACTACCCCCGTCTCTAGAACTTTTTCATTTTGCAAAACAGAAATAACTCTAGGAACCTCAAATACTTGTGATCATGCAGTATTTGTCCTTTTGTGACCAGCTTATTTCACTTAGTATCATGCCTTCAGGGTTCATCCATGTTATAGCAAGTGCCAGAATGTCCTTCCTTTTTAATGCTGTATAATATTCCACGGTGTGGATTTACCACGTTTGGTTTATCCATGCATCTGCTGATCTTTTGGCTATTACTGAGTCACACTGCTATGAAACTCTGAATTTGATATTATGGCTCCATTTAAAGGCCTTTCTGGGCCAGTGGTTTGATTCATTGCAGGGCACAAGAAACCTGGAAGAATCTTGGCTGTAGCTCCTAACACTCTATGCTTTTAACTATTCTTTAACACAGGCAAACACTGAGGTCTTTGTTGCTAGAATTAAACATGAGATAATTTAAGGTGTTATAATTTGGGAGTTAAGACTATTTTTTTTTTTCCTGGAAGATCATCTGTTTCATCTCCACTTGACTTTTTTAAAATGCTGGAACTGTCTTTTGATTGAATACAAAGCCTTTTTTTCCCCCTTGACGTTTATACGACTAAAGGTGGAAAAATAAGACCTTTGCTTATTAACAAAATGAATCAATCTCTTTCCCCCATGGGAACTTGAAAACAATTTAGAGACTAGAGTAAACTTCAGGTTTTCCTCTGCTATGAATTGTGTTGACCTTTCCTCCAGGTAAGATGTAAGACAGGCCTAGCTGGGCCTGACAGAAAATGAGGTCACCCCAGGTACCACCCGATTGAGCCCTGGCTGGAAGCGCCTTGCTCTGTAAGCCTCTTTAGGCGCCTCCAGAGAGAGGAAAGTTGAGGCTGGAGGGGTAAAGTGTGCTAGCGAAGGTCAGCCGGGGAGACAGAGACCAAGGGAAAATAGTGCTTAACTTTGGGCCCTTAATGAGGTTGCAGTGGACCATGCTCCAGGCAGTAAATCCTCAAAGGCAGTGGGGCTTACTGTGTGGGGTTCTTTTTTCCCTTTCACTTCGTAGGTGCCAGATGTATTTGGGGAAATTCCCCATAAGATGGGTACAAGGTTAACCCCTCCTTTGTCTGACCGGTTTGCATGTTCCACCTGCAGAGGCGGTGAGGACCCTGGAGTTTCCAGCCCTCTCGCCTGTGCAGTCTGATCTCTGGGCCTGCCTGTGGGACTGGCTCCTGACTGGGAGTGTGAAACGCAGAATAAACAAAAGCAAAGAGACTGTGTGTTGGAAACGGGACTGCAGGGCTGAGAAGATACTCGGAAAAGTGGCCTCAGGCCAGCTCCTACTCTTTCCAAATATGCCAGGAATGCCGGGCCCAGAGGCAGGGGACAAAACAGGAGAAAAGAAGGAAAAAGAACAGGCGTCACCAGGCCATAGTCTAGCCAGTCTAGTTGTCAAAACAAAGCAGAAGAGAACCTCTAGCTCCAAATAAAAGTGGATCAAGAAGTTTCAGAACTCAGCAATGATTGTTACTAAAGTTTGCATGTAGAGATCCTGCACCCCGGCATCCACCCCTGCCTAGGGCTTTGCTGGGGGCATCACGACACAGGGTAGGGAGCCCAGCAGAGCCCAAAACAAATGCCTAAGTCTTCTCAGCATCCCATTTGTAGGTAAGGAAGCAACTCAGAGGACCCCTCGGAGAAAGGATTTGTTTAGTACACGCGGCACAGAGCTAGCTGCTTGGGGCTGGGGATTTGATCTATGCGTGGTTTCCCAGTTTGAGATGGAGGATCATGACAAGGGACAAAAGGTCAAAGGGTACACCAATGGGGTAGAAAAGCAAAACAAAAACAGGAAGTGGCCGGCTCAGGGATTTTCCATGAGAAAGCTGGGAAACAGGTCCCGGTAGAAAAGAGTGTCAAAAACCAGAATGACAAAAAATTTAGCTTAAAGACCTTGATTGTCTTGATTTGTGATTCTGGCATCGAACAACACTTCATTCCACACAATGGAATAAGTGTTCCCTGAGCTGAGCTGAAGAGGTTGGCTTTGTAGACAGAGAAGGACTGAAGAAAACAGAAACAGGGAACAAAGATTGTATTAGTTACTTTTCAATGTTACTTGTTCTTGTAAGGAGGGCACAGGGAGATAGAACAATAGAAAAATAACTCGTTAGTTAACCTTGGGTGACTTCATGCTACCTTTTTTTGTGGTAGGATTAAAGCAGAAAGAACTTCATTATCATTCTGATTGAAGATTTAAACGGGCCTTTTGGGAGATTGGCTGTTCTCTCTCTCCATTCTCAGAAGGTCAGATAACAACCTTGTTTTGGTTTGGTGGTATGGAACTTTAGCGTGGGTGACTCCAGTTTGATTTTTTTTTTTTTTTTTGAGACGGAGTCTCGCTCTGTCACCCAGGCTGTTGTGTAATGGCACGATCTTGGCTCACTGCAAGCTCCGCCTCCCGGGTTCACGCCATTCTCCTGCCTCAGCCTCCCGAGTAGCTGGGACTACAGGCGCCCGCCACCACGCCCGGCTAATTTTTTTGTATTTTTAGTAGAGACGGGATTTCACCGTGTTAGCCAGGATGGTCTCGATCTCCTGACCTCGTGATCCACCCGCCTCGGCCTCCCAAAGTGCTGGGATTACAGGCTTGAGCCTGTAAAAACCGCGCCCGGCCGATTTTTTTTTTTTTTTTTTTTTTTGAGACAGGGTTTCACTCTGGTGCCCAGGCTGGGTTGCAGTGGTATGATCTCTGCTCACTGCAACCTTGACCTCCCAGGCTCAGGTGATCCTCCTGCCTTGGCCTCCCGAGTAGCTGAGACTACAGGTGCACACCACCACACCTTGCTAATTTTTGTTATTTTTTCTAGACATGGGGTTTTACCATGTTGGCCAGGCTGGTCTCAAACTCCTGGGCTCAAGGATTCGCCTGCCTCAGACTCCCAAAGTGCTGAGATTACAGGTGTGAGCCACTGTGCCTGGCCCATGTTGATTTTTAGTCTGGTCTGTTGGGGCCTAGTGTGGGAGCTTGGTTCAAAACAATGGCCTCCTATAATTTTTATATAACAAGAGAAAAAGGAAAAAAATAGCTCATTGAATCCTCTGGAAGCCGCTTGAGATGTGAAATGGGGGCCTCCCGCAGGAGCCAGCTTGTCCAGGGACTGGGACACCCAGGTGGGAGACAGAGTGGAGGACTCAATACCGGCTCCTTGCTGGCCTGACGCCAGCCTGGTCTCTCCCTCCTCCACTGTCCTCTTGGAAGGAGGGCTTTGTTACCTCTTGTGTCCCTTAGAGAAGTGTGTTTGTGTATGTCCTAATGCCAAAGCATGGAATGGGGTCTAAAACAGCCCAGAGAAGGCATTTGCACCCCAAAGCTATTATCCACAGATGGGATTTCTGCTGCATAGGGTCAGAGAGTATTCACAACTATCATTGCACAAATGGAAAAACTTTTTTTTCACCTGCCTCTCACTTTTAGAACCAACTGACCCAGTCCTTTTGGTACCAGAATTTGGAAGGGGCAAGGCCCAAGGGTTGTAGGTGGGTGAGGGTCTGTGGAGCAGGAGAGTGACATGTCTCCCAGGGGACACCAGGACAAATGGGATCTGACAAATGCAGAGGACCAATGTCCTGGATCCCAGGCCCGGTGCTTTGTACACATTGCAAGGCCTGACCCGGTAACAGAGGAGGTGCTGAGTACTTCTCAACTTGCATTAAAGTGCTCCCTGGGCTGGGCGTGGTGGCTCACACCTGTAATCCCAGGCAGGCGGATCACCTTAGGTCAGCAGTTCAGGACCAGCCTGGCCAACATGGTGAAACCCTGTCTCTACTAAAAATGAAAAATTAGATGGGTGTGGTGGCACGTGCCTGTAGTCCTGGCTACTCGGGAGGTTGAGGCAGAAGAATCGCTTGAACCCAGGAGGTGGAGGTTGCAGTGAGCCAAGATCGTGCCACTGTACTCCCCGTCTCTACTAAAAATAAAATATTAGCCGGGTGTGGTGGCACGCGCCTGCAGTCCCCACTACTCGGGAGGTTGAGGTGGGAGAATCGCTTGAACCCGAGAGACGGAGGCTGCAGTGAGCCGAGATCGCGCCACTGCACTCCAGCCTGGGCGACAGAGTGAGACTCAGTCTCAAAAAAAAAAAAAAAAAAGTGCTCCTTGGCCACAACAGGAGAAAAAAATCTCCAGTTCCCTCCTAGCCTCGCTCCACCTTGAGATCTTATTTTAGTCTCCAGTTAATCAAGGACGTCTGGGCTTCATGCGAAAAGGGAAGAATGTGCCAGTGTGTTTCGAACACCATATATGCAAATGAGTCAGCAAAGTATGTTGCTGGCAGCCACCAGAGGTCAAATGTCAGCCTCCACACTCAACAATTATTTTGCTGAAAATACACTGCAAGCAGGGCAGCAGGAAATGAGTTGCAGCAACCTCGATTCTTGTGTGAAAGTTTCCAATTAGGAATTCAAAGAAGTTGTTGTTTAATGAAAAAGTGAAACGAATGCCTTTTATGTGCCTCTCCACTTCCTTGGTGGTCCCTGGCTAAGTGCTGGATCCATTGCCAGGAATATGGATGTCATTCAGTTCACCCGAGAGCAGGGGCAAGCAGCATCTAATGTAATAGAAAGGAAGTTGATCGGATCCTTAGGTTTTGGGGTTGGCAAACCTGGGCGAAATCTGGCCCACAGCTTGTTTTTGTAAATAAAGCTTTATTGGAACACAACCATGCCCGTTTGTTCACATTTGATCAATGGCTGCTTTCACAGTACAAGGGCAGAGTTGAGTAGCTGGGAGAGAGACCATGCGGCCTGCAAAGCCCAAAATATTTACTCGATGGAGCTTGATAGAAAACATCTGCTAACCCATGCTTTAGTTCATCCATTTTTAGTTTTCCTTGTGTGATGGGACCCCTTTGAAATATAGTGAAAGCTCTCTCTCTATCCCCTTTCAGAAAAATACATGACTTTCTGGTTAAGAATGCTCACATGTAACTCTAACTAGACTCTTCTACAGGGCCAGAGGCCATCATAGTATATTCTGGACCCCTCACAGGAACCGTTTATGATGGTATGAAGGACATCTTCCACACTAACACCCACCCCTGCCCACTGTACTGGTGCTAGATGCATTATAGCAAAAGCAACCTTGGATTACAGATGAAGAGACACAAGCTCTCTTGTGTCTGCCACCCTTATGCTGTGTGACCTTGAGTAAGTCACTTCACTTCTCTGAGCCTTGGTTCCCTCAAACGTCAAACGAGGAGTCCAAAATACATGACTGCCTACGGATCTTTCTGGCTTTAGGTTTTTGTGATCTCCAAGGGTCTGGAATTTATTTCTGGAGCTGAGGAGAGAGAGAGGTTGTGAGTTATATATTTTCAAAACGTCTGAATTTGCTTGGCCACCCAGAGAGGTCTGTGGTAGTTAATTTAGTTAATTCCAAGCTGGGATTTGATTACCACACTGGATACTTGGCACCTGTTGGAGAAAACTCTGCCATGTCCCTGTCTCTACCCCTCCACCCCTGGTCAGCCATCCTGATCCATCAGGTTGCCACACAGGGGCTGCGTAAGAGAGTGTGAACATAATTCAGTTCAGCCTATCAGAGCTCTGGAAAAACAGCTTAGGACCCACGACCTTCTGGTGGAATGTCCGCAGAAACATCTTCCATCAGAAAGAGAACATGTAAAACTTATCTTGCACAGATATGATCTGTTAGGCAAACAGCTTTTAGATTTGTGTTGCATTTGGTTTTAAAATGAAAAGAAATGTGTGTATATTTTCTCTCTTTTTAAATTTTTTTTTTTTTTTTGAGACAGAGTCTTGCTCTGTTGCCCAGGCTGGAGTGCAGTGGCATGATCTCGGCCCACTGCAACCTCCGCCTCCCTAGTTCAAGCGATTTTCCTGCCTCAGCCTCCCGAGTAGCTGGGATTACAGGTGCATGCCACTGCGCTGGGCTAATTTTTGTATTTTTAGTAAAGACGGGTTTTTACCATATTGGTCAGGCTGGTTTCGAACTCCTGACCTCAGGTGATCCACCCACCTCGGCCTCCCAAAGTGCTGAGATTACAGGCGTGAGCCACCACGCCAGGCCAATGTGTGTATATTTTCTGACTGTAAGTATGCTTCATATGTATTGTAGGCAATTTTAAGACATACAGAAAATGTGAGGAAAGTAAAAATCATCCCCAAATCCCACTCTGCAGAGGTGACCACTGTCAACGATTTGATAAGCCTCCAGGTGTCTCTTTTATGAATACGCCCTCACAACAACATTTTTACATAAATGGGCTGCAAATGTTGTATCAGCTCCTACTTTTTATCTATCAGAATGATCCATGTGAATATCTTCCTATGGCTTTGGATGTAGATTTCCAACATTATGTTTAATGGTTGCATAGCATATGATTAAACATACTATAAGTCACTGACTCAATCACTTCTAGGTTGTTTCAGCTTTATTTATTTTTTAGATTTATTTGCCACACTGTGATGACTATCTGTGCAATTTTTTTCTGGTGGCTCAACTGAGAATAAATTCCTAGTTTTAAAATTAAGAAGACAAAGAGTACTCATGAATAATTTTAATGTACAGGGTCAAATTTCTCCCAGAAAATGTATAACACTAAACATCTACCAATAATAAGGAGAGTTCCCATTTCCACACTCTCTGGCCAACACTAGCCATTGACAATATTTAAAGTTTTGGCCAATCTGATAGGTTAAAACTGATGTTTTATTGTTGTATTGATTTGCCTTTCCTAGATCATTTTACTTTTGAATGGTACTGTTTATGGTTAAATAGAGGCAAAAATAATGACTTCATATGAGGATATCATTACTACATGAGGAACTAAGGCTGGCATGAAGGCAGACATATGTTATTCAGAGAGCCATGGTGCCAGGTGCCTAGCACAGAACAGTTTGATAACCATTTGAGGGTAATAATATTTTGTTGATTGATTGATTTATGGACTCACCGGTGACTACTTTCAGGAACTGGTTGAATGGCATCTAGAAGCCTGCATGGCTCTGGTCATAAAGGATGACAGGATGACATTTGCCTATAACTGCAAGGCCACTTGCAGGCAGAATGCACGTCCCATGTCTTGTTGATGTCTGTGCAAGATCCACCTGATCTAATCTACCTGACCTCCCTGGCTCAAGGGATCTTCTTGCTTCGGCCCCACAAGTAAATGGGACTAAAGGCATGTACCACCAAGCCTGGGTAATTTTTGTATTTTTAGTAGAGACGGGGTTTCACCATGTTGCCCAGGCTGGTCTCGAACTCCTGGACTCAAGCGATCTGCCTGCCTCGGCCTCCGTAAGTGCTGGGATTACAGGCGTGAGCCATGGCGCCTGGCCTCCCTTGGTCTCGAATGGGTCTCCCCATTTCTTTCCTTTCTGGGATAGGAAGATGACAGCTTCACTTCAGCCAATGTCACCAAGAATTTCTCTCCCTTCCGAGATTGGAAGGTGACAGCTTCATTTCAGCCAATGCAACCAAGAGAGGCTTCGGGAAAGTCAGAAGATGGCTAACGCTGCCTGTGACCTAGTGCAAGGGGGAACTGGAAGCCCCCAGGGACGATGGTGGAGAAACTGAGAACATGGGGTGGCAACTCTGCCCTGCCAGCCTCCGTGGTGGACTCTTGCCACGACGAACAGCCAGGGTGGGAGAGGCCCACTGCAGGGAGCTACTCCTTCCAGGCCTGGTGCGCAGTGGTTTCCTGCCTTGCTAAATGGCCGTTGCTCGGTGGTGATGATTCATGGCATTTGGAAAGTGTGGCTGTGTTCTGAACAGGGAAGTGAAAAATAACACAGCCAAGGTCAGTGCAGGACAGGATAGGGGCTGTTACAAAATGTGCAGTTTTACTCTGAAAAATGCAGGGGGTGGGGAGCCACAGTAAACTCGGTCCTGGTGGTTCACACCGCGTGCGTGGCGCCCTGCTTGCTCTCCTTTACAGCATCAACTTTTCCGAGTGTCAGTCACTAATTTGTCCCTTGGAAGCGGCTGCTGGTCTTGGCTGAGCGGCTGTGGGTAGGAGGAAGTGGATGCGTGATTCAGTGAGTGTCTGCTTCCTCTCTGACTCAGGATTGGATCTGTTTCTGAGGGTGGTGCCAGGGGGCACAGTGTGGCTTTAGCTAGATTCTTTGAACTTGGAGTCAAACCTGAGGCTCTGACCCCTTGTAGCCGCTGGCCCTCCCTTGACCCCTTTGGATGAGTGAGGGGGCTCAGCTGGACCCTATGACCTTGCTTCACATTGGGTAAGCCTTCTGACCTGAGGCCTTCCTGTGGTTTCAGCTGAGAGAGGCTAGTGACATAGAGAGCCGAGGCAAATCCTGGATCTGTGCCTGCCTCAAGAGCTCCCTCCTTTGTGGGAGTTGCATTTGGGGGAGCAGCATAGTTCTCAGGGGCTCCACCTAGGCAGGCGCTAGACTGATGGAGGAGGCAGTTGAAGGAGGAGGTAGTTTTCTTGTGGTCCCTTTGTCTATTTAGCCAATGATACGATAGGAGAGGGTCAGGTGGGGAGCTGAGACATTCCGAAGTGAAAAGTCAGGATTGGCTTTTTCTTCTAGAGCATGGAGTTTTCCAAGGATCTGTCACTAGTGTGCCGTCTGAACAGACATCGCTGCTGACACCTAAAACCTCTTCTAAGAAACACTCCAATTATTCAGATAATTGCTTGTGCCTAAGACTGTATAACCTAAGAGTCGGGTGCAGGCTTGATAAAGAATTGGAAGCCCTCTGCAAAACTGCTACAGGTGTTCTGTGTTCCGACGCCCTCCATCACCTTGGACAGGGGTTCTTCTTCCGGCCCAGTCTCTCCCATTTCCTCTTTTCTCCCTCCATCTCCTCCCATTTGCTTGGCCAGAGCAGAGGCTCGGCTGGTCTAGTTCAGGTAGGATGGCCAGCATCCAGTCACTGCCATATTCAACAAGGACTTGAGAGCTTCTAGAGAGAGAAATGCAAGTCAAACCAGCCTGGGCTTTTAAAAGGGGGCTTTGTGTGACCCTGGACACCTGCAACTGGGAGCCAACACTGCCACGTGCTCTCTCTTTTCTCACGCCTCAACTTCCTCTGAATACTGATCTAAATCTCTTTGCTAAGCTTCCTCTCTATGGCAGGTAATGTGCACGATGGCAGCTTTTGCTTATTGTACCTCATGACTTCACTGCCAGAAAGGGACAGAGAGGGGCCTTCACGGCCTTCACTGGGGCCAGGTGACCATCATTGGCTCAAACACTGCGGCTTGGGAAGAGCTGAACTGATGCCTGCTCACATCTGGACTCTGATTTGTGCTAGGGAGGGGGTACTTTCCAGAAGAAGGGGCCCCTGTCCTGGAAGACATACAATGGAGCCCACCACCGTGGTGCTGAGAGCTATTCCCAAGTCCTAGGGCGCAGTGGGCCCTCCTCCTTCGCCTCTGCTTCCCCTGCCTGGCAGTGAGGGGCATGGCCTGGGGGAGGGGTGACATCTGTCCACAGAGCCCATTGTTTTTTGGCTTGAAAATCCATAGGAAAATGGGGGTTTTTCTCAGCTCCCTTTTTTTGGAGTGGGGGCAGCAGCCGTGTGATTTTCTGAGTGGAATGCCTTGGAGGATCTAAGCGGTGAGTGAAGGAAGAACAAAAGAACCATTCTCAGAAGCATGGCAAAAATGAAACCAAATAAAAACCCCATAAAAATCCCTACCGGGGCAGAGGAAATACCAAGCCAGTGCTTTTGGAGTGCAGATTCTGTAATAAAGGAAAGATTCATGGATACGCTGTGCAACTTGCTTATGTTTGGACTGGAGGGAGAATGTGCAGGAACATGATATAAAAGAGTCATCCAAGAAAGGGAGGCATCGCTGTGTGCATTTGTGTTGTGTGTTGTTGCAATTCAGGAGTGGACTAAGGACTGGGGTTCATGGGGAGCCTGAAAGAGACACTGGACTGGTTCAAAGTTTGTGCACAGCTGCGGAGATCAGATGACTGTCAGCTGGGCCTGCCCCCTGCTGCCTCTGCTTGATTGCAGGAGGAACTCTGACCTTGATTTAGTCACCAAAACACCCATCTGGAAAGCTCTTTGAAGATTGATTAAGTAAACACTCACAGCACAGACAATCATAATTGAGTGACGTAGCTGAATTATCTGCAGTGCGTGGAAGAATGCACTGATGAGAAAGCTCAGGGGCATGTTCCCTCTCTGTTCCTCTAATTTGGCTTCCTTACTTAGGGGTACAGTTTCGGGCACCGGGAGTGTTTTGAGGGGATGGCGTGGAGGATGTGGAGACTTTCACTCTCATTTGGCAGGGTGACACTATCCCAGGCATAGAACACCACCCGTCACCGCACTGCAGCTGGTGTGGCCTGTGGCAGGTAGCGCTGTCCGCACAGCTGACCTGAGATGCTGCCTGTAGGGGGTTTCAGTTCTGCTTTGTGACTGTGGGCTGCTGTGAGCCCACTTTGGGAAAGGGCTCACAGATGGGGAAGGCCTGGATTTCATCTGGGAGTGCCTCACCTCTCTGCACGGTGGTTCTGCTCTAGGAAAGAGCTGGTGGGCCTCTGTGGGCATGAAGCAGTGGCCACGTTAGTTCCCTAATGATCTCTGCAGCTCCGTGGGAGATAGAGATGGGAATAGGCTGTCAGCTCTGGACTCGGCTTCTGGACTTGGTATGCCTGGAGTTTGTTGAGTCCTCTGGATTCGGGGAGCAGTTTTGATGTTCATTCAATTCATTCATGATTGATCCATCCACCTATTCACTCACTCACCAGGGCTATCATTTCATCATTCAATCACGTTGAGATAATGTCTCTCCCACTTTTTCTCTCTCCTGCCTGGCACAGTGCCAAGCTTCTGCCAGGGCTCTGCACATTTGTTTACATCTCTTCCTGCTCTGCTTTTGTTGTGGTTGAATATCTAACCCCCAGGACCTCAGAATGTGACCTTATTTGGTGATAAGGTCTTTATTTATTTATTTACTTAATTTTTGATACAGAGCCTCGCTCTGTTATCCAGGCTGGAGTGCAGTGGCGTGATCTCAGCTTACTGCAACCTCTGCCTCCCGGGTTCAAGCGTTCAAGTGATTCTCCTACCTCAGCCTCCCAAGTAGCTGGGATTACAGGTACATACCACCACGCCGGGCTAATTTTTGTATTTTTAGTAGAGACTGAGTTTCATCATGTTGGTCAGTCTGGTCTCGAACTCCTGACCTCAGGTGATCACTTCAGTGATCCCAAACTGCTGGAATTATAGGTGTGGGCCACTGTGCCTGGCCAAGTGTGAGGGTCTTTAAAGAGGTGATTAAGTACAAATGAGGTCACGAAGATGGGCCCTAATCCAATATGACTGGTGTTCTTCTAAGAAGAGGAGATGAGGACATAGACACACACAGAGGGAAGCCCATCTGAGGACATGGGGTGAAGATGGCCATTTCCAAGCCAAAGAGAGGCCTCAGAAGAAACCAACCCCGCCGGCACCTACACCTCACACTTCCAGCCTCCAGACCGTGAAGAAGTAAAGTTCTGTTGTTTAAGCCAGTCTGTGGTACTTTGTTATGACAGCCCGGGAAAATGAATACAGCCTCTCAACACGTTCACTGAGCATATAGCCATCTGCAAGTTATTCTAGATGATCTACAGATGAAAGTAGAGAAGTACAGGAAAAGAGGAACGGGAACGAGCTCATCTTTTCTTCTTCATTTTCTCCTCCCAAACCCTCCCTACTCAGCCTCTCCTTACCTCTACCCTCAGCAGAAAGCAGAAACTTAGGGGGAAATGAAACAGAGTGCTCTCCAGCAGATGCCGCCCTACGGAAGCTCTGGAATAGAATGGAGACCCTTCAGTATAGAATCAGAAGCATCATTTTCTTTTGGCTGTCCCCCACTCTCCAAGTTTGTTTTTAGCTCACGTGTATACACACTCACGGCCAGAACACACACATGGCCTGACGAAGCAGCCGCATGTGTGCATCTCAGAAAGACTGGGAACAGGGACCCCAGCTGTTGTGGACACGCTGTGACTGTGTGGCTGGCAGTGTGTTTGCCAGTGTTTGCCAGTCCCAGCTTTATGGGGCATGGTGGCTGGAAAAGGCTGCAATAAAATGATTCTCTGGGGCACGAATTATGTCACTTTTTGTCCTTTGTGTGCAAAAATGATGGCAATGTTGTGTTTCCACACAATTGCTACAGGACTGTCCTTTGATTTATGGCCCTGGAGGATGGCTGTGTGCTCTGATCTCTTTATCTGCAGGAATCACCAGCTCATTTCATTCTGAAATCATCTTGGGATCTCTGGAAACACCCCCCAGTCTTCAAACCTGCTGCGCCTATTAACAAGCCAAGCCCATTTAAAACAGGCTCAGTATGGAAGACTCAATATTCCTCGTTCTTCTACAGTATCTACCATTTTGGATCAAAGACATTTTTCACCACTCAACACAATAATAATCCTGTCCCATTGGTCGTTTTGCAATCCTGGCTTAGTTCGCTGATTTTAAAGGGAACTGGGATTCCAAGAGCTCAGTGTTGACCAACGGGTCCCGTGTTGCATAGTACTGGGTCCCCAGAGGACTTTGGCCAAGATGTGACTGCCAATGTGGCTGCAATCAGCTTCTTTGTGCATGCTGGGGAGTGAAATTTGCACATCACATTCACTTTTCCCTCATATCCATAGTGGTGTTTCTGAAGTCTCGTGGCATTTCTTCATTTAACGTTGATGTTAAAACAAGCTTCCCTTTCTTTTCTATGTCTATTCCAGTGATGTTCTGAGGGCCAGCCCAGCAAGAGTGTCCCAAAGCCTGGGTATGCTCAGCTTCTCCTGCCCCACTTCCTCCTGCAGTGCCTTCCTTTCCTGGCCTCCATTTCTGCCCCTCGGCCCTGCCTTCTTCCTCTTGCTCCCTGCTTACTCCCAAGCAGAATCCTCTTATTTGATGGGACCTAGGGTGTGCCCTACTCCTGAGGTTAGCTGCGTTTTAGATGAGTGCCTCCTGAATATCCTAAGCTTTCAAAATCCAAAGAAATTATCTCCCAATGCTTGAACGGAGCCAAGGTTTTCTACCTGGACTGGTTGGGCAGACAGGTCTACTCTGCTTACTTACATAACCAGGCAAGGTGATCTGCTGGGTTCTAAGCTGCACCCCTTCCTCGGTGTGTGTCTGTCTGCATGTTTGGCTGATGCGCAGACGCCTTCTCAGGTAGGTCTGGGGTGATGCAGGCTCCTATCACTCAAGGGTATGAATCTTGCTGCAAATGGAGACTGATGTGGGCTCATGGTGCCATCTCACTGCCACCTTCCCCTAGCCCCAGAGCTATATTTACTAGTTAGCCAATAAAAACAAACAAATACTACAGGTCTACACGCGTTCAAACCCTTGCTCTCTTCTACGCTTTCATTTCATAAATGTTGGTACATCCAGAGAACGGAACTGAGCCCACAGCCATGTACAAGCTTTTCAGTGACCTGATCACTTCCAATCTGCTCTAGCCAATGAGGATTCAGAGCAGTGACCCTTAGATAAAAGGCTTCATTTGGCATGAGTCATCCGTGGAGACATCCAGCCCACTTGGTCTGTGTTAAGTGCCTGGTTCCTGTAAATATTGACAGTTAGAAACCATCCCAAGAGCTACCATGCAGTGAACTGGAAGGTAATCTACACGAACATGACCACTGATTAGGCAATGCTCATTGTTTGCTAAGATTCAGCCACTGATAAATATCACCCCATTATCTCTCTTCCCAATAGCGGCTCATTTACTTGTGTGTGACTCATAGTTGGTATTTTATGGGGTCTGATTCAGCAAGGAAAGTTTGCTGCAACAAAGAATGACCTCCAAGGCCACTTCAACTTCTAGAATACTGGCTTCTCAACAAGAGTGGCCTGGAAAAGCTAAAGGGGGAGTCTTTATCATCAAGGAACTAAAGGGGGTATGGAGGGATATAGAGCAAAAGAGTGTTTGTCACCAGTCAAAGCCGATGTGTTAAAACCCACTTATCCCCATAGCCACACTTCCATTACAGTTTATCTATGGATGCCAGTGACCTGCAAGAGGCTCCTTCTCCTTGTTCAAGTCACTTTGGGCTTGTTAGCTCTATCTCGAAGAAGGGGCAAGGATAAACCTCTACCCATGCAGAAGCTGATTTTACCTTTTGCTCTTCCTTTCTGACTGCTTAAAATAAATGTATCATTACCTGAATGTCTACTGATGCTTTCCAGTGGTTTTGACTGCTTGGTTTATTGAGCTTTACTATGTGCAGGAACTTTGCATTGAACCCTAGTCTTTATGAATGCCCTTTGTTTGTTTCCTACATTTGCTGTGGGCTGAGGGTCAGAATCAAGCTTTTCAATAGGTGGGTTTTGAACATGGGCCTTTGGCAGACTGTGTGCAGCTGAAAAGCGCTGTCCTGAGCTGAGGGTGAGCGCGCGCGCGCACACACACACACACACACACACACACACACACACGACCATCGCCCTTTTGCATAATCACTTGGATTTACTCTGTGTTGCCCTGAAGTAGGGGCTCTGCTTGTGTGGACCTGTCTCTCCATGCAGGCCAGCACAGCGCCGTGAAGGAGGCATGGATTACCTTAATGGGAGCCATCTCTTTGCCACTATCTATGTGACTTTGGGCAAATTACTTAACTGCTTTAAGCTCAGGTTTCTTATTTGTAAAACAGGAATAATGATACCTACCTTGACGGCTAATGTGAGTAGAGGTAATGTATTTAACACACATGGCTCATAAAAATGGCTCAATAAATTGCAGTGATCTTCAGCACCAAGCCACTGTAAACATTGTTTCTGCCAACAATAAAAAGCGGCCTACCAGAAGCCAGAAGTGCTATAAACACTGTATTAGCCCATCAAGGAGGTATTATTATCCAAGGCTTGGACTCCAGCTGGCCAGGACTAGAGAGCATGCACTGGCTGTTACCCGTGCCACCTTCCAGGGACACTGGAGGTCATGACTGCGTGTGTGTGTTTAGGGAGGCTAGCAACTTGCTGTGTCAGGTGGCCACGAGGGCATCTGCTTCATCTTTGCCCCCATCACGGGAGCACAGACTGGTCTGTGTGCTGTTAGCCAAACAGCTTCTCAACGCCCTTGCTAAACCACCTGGCAGTGGCTAAGGGCTCTGTCTTTTGTTCAGGTTGATCACACACCTGCTGAGTTGCAGAGTCCAGTGCGTTCTGGAGCTTATTCATATTCCATATTTTTAATGGCATGCCCATGGGTGGGTAATAGGAATCCAGTCTGTTGGGATGTATGGGCATGGGGGTCCAGGGTCCGTGAGGAGTAGGCAAGAAGCTCAAGTTGACAGCCAACTCCACTCTGTCCTGGTAATCAGAGGGCAACGAGCTGTGTTCAAGCAGAAGCTCCTCCTCCAAGGTCCCTCCCACCTCACCCCACTCCACCTCTCAGGGAAACATCTTACATGAGAGGGGGATATTTCAAATGATGCCCCTGGAGGATTATTTTTATTAAATGTACACCTGTGGTGTCAGGGCTGTAATAGCATGTTTGGAAGAAAGAATAATTCAGTAGAGCAATGGTGTAGACCATGAAGGAGGGAGAATTCCCCTGAAGTGACCAAAAAATGACTAAGGTGCATTTCCAGGAGAGGAAACGTGAGGTGGAGGAAAATGATCCCTGTGACGATGTTGAAAACAGAGCCTGCTCAGCCTTAATAAACCAGAGCTGCTGCGAGGCACCAGCGCTTCAGTTGGGTCAAACCAAAGTTTCCTGCTCTTCTCATAAAGGTGAGAGAAGGTCCGTGGAGGCCACCAAGGACAGGCCCGTTGGCATCACTCTGGCTACCTCAGTCCCTTAATGTCCTGGAAAACTGGAGTCTGCTTCCTCAAGAGCCCAGCGGTTGCCCAGTAAGGCTGGGGCCGGAAGCACAAAAGAACCGCCCTCGAAGCCTAGGGATGCCAATTCTTCCCTTCCCTCCCGCAGTTTCTGCGGGAAGGAAGGAGCAATGGGAAGGAGGTGGCTAGGCCAGCTTTTGCTGCCTGGGATCAGAGCCATTCCACCCTCGGCCCCCTCAGGGTCTCTGCACGGTAAGTCAGCAGGAGAGCAATTGTCTCCTCTCAACAGTGACCGAGGCGGGCAGAAACTACAGTGGAGGTCAGACTTAGGCAGGCAGGGCCACTAAAGAACCCACTTTGCCAGCTTGGAGTTACACATGGGTTGCTCTTGGTTGGATACATCTGCTTCAAATCTTCCTAAACCCTTCAGGTCCAGGATTTTCTTCTCTGGTGCCCCAAAGAGTCGACATACCCTTAACCTAGTTCCTACTTCCTGGGGTTGCTATGAGAACCAGCCGAGATGATGTGTGTCAGACACTCACCGTGTCCAGCACGTGGCAAGTGTTCAAGCTCGTTACCGAGTGTCATTATCATCAGTCATCATGTCAGACTCCTGGTTTGGGTTTACACTTTAGAAGTCTGTTCTCTTCCAAACTGATCCAGCACCAACCCCATCCACCCCCGAGAAAGTTTCAGCTCCTTTTTGCTTTGTTTTCTAAACCAATTCATTCCTGTAATTCATTCACTTGCTCATTTGTTCATCCGCCCAATCCTTATTACATTGGTGTGAAAGTAATCACGGTTTTCACCATTACCTTTAGTGGCAAAAACCCCAATTACTTTTGCACAACCTAATAAATATCTACTGTGTGCTACGCTCTTATGTGCTTATGATGCTGCTATGCACCCATCCCTCCCCCAATACACACACACACACACACACACACACACTTTCTTTTTCAGGTTCCAGGTCTCATTTCTGAGTAGATTCATGTGACCTTGCTCCATTTTCTCGTGCGTGTATTTTTTTCCATGGCAGATACGCTTTTCACATGAACCTGGTGTCTGCAGCATTTACAGCATTTAGAAGCTTTGGTTTACAAAGTGCTCTAAAGTTTACACTTTAGAAGTCT